>NC_000001.11:56523531-56675047 GCF_000001405.40 Homo sapiens
CTAATACAAGTGTCTTTATCACTTTAAAATTCCAAAATGTGTCCACAATGCTTATCAAGCAGCTATGGCAAATACTATTTTTATTTGAAAAATGGGGGAAAAAACTAGAAAGTAAAATAACTTCTGCTAAGGCAGTGGCAGCGCTCAGAATTAAACCTAACTTTTCTAGCTAACCTCTTTTTCAAGGATTTCACAGTGATGGCATGCCCCTAAACTATTTTGAGGGCTATCATATCAGAAGGGATCGAAGCTGGAACTGAGCACTGCTCAAATCAAAGGGTGGGTACTTACCACCAAATACAGCATAGTGTACATGGAGAAGGAGGCATGGCCAGAGAAGAAGGACTTCCTGCAAGAGCAAGAGAGGGCCATGAAAGGGCCGTATTCACATCCCTGATACACACTTGTCTGTCTGTCTTCCCTCCCTAGACTGTAACCTTGAGAGCAGGCACTAGGCCCTGTTCATTTTTGCATCCTTGGTAGTGCTTTGGACCCATGCCTGGAACATAGCAGGCACCTATGAATTCATGAATAAACAAAAGAATGAATGAATGAATGTACCTACCCATGCTATATCGGAAGTATTGATTTACATATCTGTCTCAATCATCTGACTGTGAGTTCCTCAAGAATAGGAACTATGCCTTATTCACCCATCTAAACCAGGGCCCAGCTAGTAAGTGCTCACTGAACTGCACTGTATGAAAGGGGTCCAGGCTCTGGCCATGCGGAGGTGGTGTCTCACCTGGCTTCCTGGACTTTGCTGTCATCACCTCTGCATCTGTAGTTCTGAATGTAGCCTTCAGAGCAGTTGATCTGGCTGAAATCAGGGTTGCAGACACTCAAGAAGTGAGGACGCAGGCGCCCTATGGACACTTTGGCAATGTCTGTGAAAGACTGGCTGATGGCACAGCCAAAGAGGAAGCAGCCCACTTGCTTATAGAGTGCTGCCACGTAGGGGTTCTGAATCGTCGACCGCGACTTCTTCAGGTAATAGATCCGGTAGAATTCCCCCGTGATGATCTAAAAGGAATCCAACAGGGGAATTAGGCAGTATCAAGATTCATCATCAACACTGATGCCGTAACGGATATTCAACAACACAGGAGAATATTCAGTATTTGCAAAGGAGTGTCCTAATTTTCTATTTATGAAATATACAGACACAAATATGCACAGAAGAAAAGATCAAAGCGCTAATATAGTTGGGTGTTTTAAGCCCCTTTGTAACAACAAAAATATACAACCAAATATATTTATATGTATATATGTGTATGTGTGTGTGTGTGTGTGTGTGTGTGTATCTTTTTTTTTAAGGGAGAGACAAGAACTTAACTATAGAAAAGAAATACTAAATGAAGAATCAACGACAAGGTAAAGGGTAGCTATGATGTCACAGGGTCTGAGCAAATCTCGAGATTCTGAGATTTGGGGTAAAGGATCACCAACAATGACCTGACTCTAGTAAGGGCCTCAGCCTTGTGCTGACATTGGCCATGGTGAGAGTTTCTGTAAGAAGAGCTGGACACACCATGGTTAAGTCCTGGGGAATTCAGACTCTGCCACCAATCTGGTATCCTTCAGCAATAATCTACATCCTCCAAGCTTTGGCCTTCTGCTCCATAAAAGGAGGCTGCTCACCTTTGCAGTTGTTGGTTCAAATAGGATAACATGAATGGGAAATGACCTGGATCACAGAAAGTGATGCTTTTACTTTTTAGAAGCAGAGTGTGATGAATAGAATACCAGTCTAACAACTAAGAAACTTGTAGTACGATGCCCTTCAGTGTTTGTGAATTTCCTCCAGTCAGCCTGTGCTGTCTTCTCTGAGCCTGACGATCCTTCTCAAATCTTTCTTGATTTTCATACTGTATCTATGATATGATGCTTAGAGGAGATTTATCACTACTGAAAATAATCCACCAATTACTGATTACCTATTATATACCAGACATTGCTTTTATATTCTTTATGTCACGAAATCCTGATGCTCAAGATAGATATAGTGACATCATTTACATTAAGGATGGGGGACAGCTGATGTTCTGTAAGGTAAATGCCTATGATGTGCACAACCACACACCCTGCTGCCTTTGTCTTAACTCCACAGCCCAGCCATGGCCACTTCCTGCTTGTAACCACAGCCCAGAGACAGTGATGGTCAACTCATCACTCACCACAAAAGTCCCTTCACACTTCCTCCCAGGGCAGGATGATGAGTTACACTTGCCCTTTCAGAGGGAAGAGAGCATGTGCACAGCCACAAGGGAAGCAATAGTCTGGCATATCCGGACACTCCTTTGCAAAGGCTCCCAATATTCTTTTACAGTGGAGGAAAGCATCAAGGCATGAGGTCTGATCAAGGTCCTCAAGGGCTCCAAAGTCTGGGGGAGGACGACCACGTAGGAAGGAAACACCAGCTGGGCCCAGGGACAAACAGGTGCAGCAGTGAGAACAGCTATTATCACTGCCAACATTGACACAGTGACTCTGTGTTCATAAATGCTTTATATATAAGAGCTACATTTTGTTTTCCCAGAACATATTGAGTACAATTCTGTATTAGAGGAACATAGGCAAAGGCCACTCTAGCCAGCATCTTGGCATAGCCGTTTCCTGAGAGAGCAAAACTAGTATGGGACCCTGCATAGATGCTCAAAGACTATCAGTTGAAGGAACAAATGAAGGAAAGGGAGCAGGACGGTAGTCCTCAGAGTTGCCTTATTACAAAATTGGAAGTATCCCCTCAACATTACCAAGAATGCTTTGATAACACGTTGCAGAGATTAAACTCCAGGAAGCATGGCAAGTCATTAATGAAAGGGACCATTATATTTAGAAGAAACTTAGGTCCAAATTAGCTCCCATCTAAAGATTAAACCCAGGTGCACTGACTCCCTGCCCAGCATTCTTTCCTACCATTCATGATCTAATTCCCCTTTTGAACCTGTTTATACATTTACCCTATGTAACCTCACAGGCAAACAAGTTCCAGATGTTTATTACCACAATCATGTTCTCTTAATCTTTTTTATTCTTCCTTATTTATAAGTCATATGAGATTTTTTATGCAGGAGGAAGAGCACTGAACTAGGAGTCAAGTAGCCGAGGTTCAAGTCCCTACTTGTTTAGTGAATTTGGGATAAATTGGTTTCTGCATTTGCAAAACGAGGGTGCTAGACTCTGATTTATGACTTCATAACTGCAATGACATTTATTCTCAACTTTCCTGGGCTACGTCCACCATCCACCACTAGCCTGCCAACCAAGCACAGGTAATAAGCAATGGCAGAGGAAAGTTACTTGCTCAGAGATGACACCAGAAGCAGGGAGCAGAACCAAGGCCCCAGATAAAATCCCTGACCTCAGATTGCTCTCTGGTTCCCTGAACCAGACACTGCTACAGATTAAGGAACTGTTTCTAAGCAGGTGTGGCCTGAGGATCAGTCAACACGATTTCCTGTTTGATGCTGAGAAAGAACATGTGAGTTTCCAATGCAAATTAGCATCTCTTTTATGAATTTACTGATTAATCTCAGATGAGTCACCTTTCTGCTCCAGTTACTTTAGGGAGACGGGGTTTGATTACAATTCAGGGATTCTTTTCAGCTCTAATGTCCCATCTCTAAAACTTCCATTTTTAGTGTCACAGTCTTAAGATAGTAAATTGCAAAGTAAAATGTTTCCTTCACTCAAGGGAAAACAAGGAGATGAAAAGAACATTTTGCAGTACCTCAAATTCCTAATAATAATGTTAACAGCAGCCATCTCTTACATTTATTTTGTACTGTAGTTTCATTGAATCTTCTCTGTGAAGAAGATATTCCATTCTACAGATGGAGATACTAAGGCTCTGGGAGACAGTGACTTTTCTGAAGGATTTGAGGCCAGTAAGTGACAGAGTTAAGAGTAGAGCCCAGGTATTCTGACTCTTAAGCTCAAAGACCCACAGCAGACTACACTGAGATAATTTTATCATTTCTATTGTTATTAAAACCAATTTCCACTGCAGAAGAGCAATTGCAGATTTTTAAGGAGAGGGCCAGGCTGAAGCCATTTAGCAGACACATGACTCCAGGACCACATGGCTTCTGGGGCAGCCTTGACAGATTTTAGAGTGAATGAGCAACAAATTATGTATTTTCTCTATCCCCTTGTACAGAAGGGTCAGGGAGTCGACAACACAGCCATAAATCATCATTATGAACCAGGCGGACTTGGCTTCTTGTAATCCTAACCCTTAAAAGTCTATTTAATGAAATTTGGGTTGTGAAAGGCAGCCTGAATACCTCACCTCTACAGACGAGGCGAAGGCTTAAATTGTTCTCCGACACGTTACACACCTAACTCTCGAGTCCCAGATTTACTGCTTTCGGACTTTATTCATTACTCACAATGTTTTTATTCCTGGGTAAGAAAATAAGCTCTTCCCTCCCCCTCCTCCTACAAAGACTCTGTCCCCACTCCCAGACTCCTGCCCCTAGAGCCCTCATTTCTGCCTCAGTCAGCAAGGTTCTGATATGTAAATTTCACTGCTGAGAAAAATGCCTTCAATGTTGATCCCTTTCTGAAACAGCAAGCAACAGATTCTGGGGGTGATGGCAGGCTGCCAGGCAAGCAGAGAATTCTCCCCTACCTGCCTTTTAAAGCACTTGGCACAGAATCTGGAAACTAATAAAATGGGAAAGCATTGCAATTAAGCTACAAGGGGACAGAAAGGGATCAGTCCTTGCCTGAGAAGGGCTGCAGTTTGGAGAGAGGTTGGCTCCAACTGCAAGACAGCTCCTCTTCCTGTCTTTTCTGGTGAAAAAGAGCTCAACTGCCCACATATTTACAAATATTTAACTGTTATGGAGAGGAAATATGAAGAAAAATTAGGATAGATTTTTGGGAAAAGATAGAGCAAGAGGTGGTGAAAGAAGCAACAACGTTGTAGCCAGAAAAACCTGTCTGAATCTTGTCTATTACCTTAGGCATGTGACTTTACCTCTCTGGGCTTAGATGTCCTCATCTATAAAATAAGGTTAATAATATCTATGTGGCAGGATTGCCAGGGAATTAGATAAGGTGATATGTCAATCGCCTGGCACCTAGCAGGAGAGCCCTCCAAAAGTTAACTTTTTTCTTCCCTCCATTGAAGAGGAAAGCAAACAAACAAATAAAAAACATGTTTTGTAGAGAGTATCTCTTCCAAGAGCTCCTTGGACGATACCATACCTAAATGAAGAGTTTGGAAATACCACCCCTCCAGGGTAGGACCAGAAAATGTATGTATGGATGACATTGCTTTTGATCATTTTATCTAGTATGTATTTTTCAGCAGATCAAGACAGAAGCAAAGTCTAAACCCAAAGCAGAAGGGACAACCCTACTCTACTGTTTTGTGTTATTTTTAACATTCCACTCTATTTGTAAATTATCCCAAGAAAAGTAATATTTTTGCACAGCAGCCTAACAATCTCTTTCAGAGACTGAGAACTCATCTTCCACCGCTGAGTCTGAAGGACAAACTTTCCTATACTCTGATCTGCTTTAATAATATTGGCTTAGTACTTTACAGCTTTCAAAGCACTTTCACATCCACTATACTGTTTGCTTCTCACAACACCATATGAATTACTAAATTATTACCAACACTTATATAAATGAGTATGATGAAGGCCAGAGAGGGCAGTGAATCACTCTGATAAAAATGAGACAGCAAGAAGACCATCACTGAAGCTGGGGCTTCCTCCTTCTAATTCCTGTGCTGTTCCCAATGGCATCGAGCTGGCTTTCTCTTAGAAGTCCTACTAGGCAGTAGTATGTATGTCTCCAGAGAGACATATGTTCACAGAACACCCAGTAAGGGCCTGCCATCTTGAAAGGCACCTGCACCTCTAAGTTCCTGCTAGCCACAGAGGGTCAAGTTGTTCTTTTACATCTCGGTTACATGAATTGATGAACTTCTTTTGCCCAGAAAAGATTAATTCAACAAACTGTTGATGATGGAGAATCGTGAAGGGAGAATCACATTTCTCACTTTAGTTCTCAGTCCCAAAGGAAAGGAAAAATATAATGTACTGGGTCCTGTTTCTAAGGATGGAGACAGATGTATGGCTGTATTTTCTCTGGCACTGACTGCTCCATCTACTGCAATAAAGTGCAGCGTCTTTAGTAACTAGAAATAGTTGATTGGAAATTTATTCTCTGATTCTTCTGTCACTTGGTTATCATCTTCAGCCTTTTTCAGAAGATCAGTGCCTCACTGTCTGGGAAAGGTAATGAAGACATAGATCTGTCCAAAGACACCAGTATAATTTCTGGGCTTTATGGGTAAGTCAGAACTCCAATATCTAGAATAAAGACAGCAAAGAGGCCAGAGAGGGGCTACAGAAGTTATTTATGGTTGAAATTAGCAGTGGCTGCCCTGTGCCCACAAGTCTCATGAAGAAGAGAGTCTGAGGCATAAAGCATCATTGTTTTCCCAAAAGTCAGGGACTCAGAGTCATGGGCCTCCTGAATGCCCAACTCTGCCAGTCCATGCAAGAATCTCCTGGCTGTTCTTTCTGCAGCATTGCCTACTGCAACCTCTTACTCTTTTTTTTTTTTTTTACCTTGAATTTCCTAGGCTTCCTTAATATCACACCACCATGCTTTTGTTACTATTTCTAAATGTATGTCTGCTTCTTCTAGTGGTTCCACATCTGACTTCTACCCAATAAATGTGGGTCTTCCCTAGGATTGTGTTCCTGGCTTTCTGCTGTGATCTCAGCTGCTTCAATAGCTTCAATTGTTACCTCTGTGAAGATGACCTTCAAAAGGGCATCTCTCTGTCTCTCTCTAGCTTCAGCCTACCCCTTTCCCCTAATTGGCCCAATTCCAATCTTCTGCTAACTCTCCCACCTGGAGATGTTAGTACCATTTCAAATTAACCAAGTCTAAGGTCACACCCATTCCCACTCCTGTCCCAAACTTCACTTCTCTTCCCTCTAGTTCTGCTCAAGATGCCACCAAGCATATGACTGACAAAGATGTGCAATCTTAGACTCCTTCCTCTCCCTTATCCCATTGTCCATCCGGCTTTTGCAAGGTCTTTTGCATCCATCTTTTTCTATTTCCCTTGCATTGCCACCACTGTGGTTCAGGCCTCATCTTTACCTTAATTAGAAAATTGACCAAGCTCACTTAAAATACTCTCATCAACCTCTAGCCAATTAGCTGGAGTAAAAATTCCTCAGCATTCAAGGGTCTTCACGATCTTGCCACAATCTTCTTTTCCTGCTGTAACCTTGTCTACTCCCTTATATTCCATTCATTCAGCCAAACAGGTCTGCTCTACATTCCCTGAAAACACTTCATTGTTTTGAAGTCTCTAAAATGGCTGAAGCCACTCCTTCTGCCTAGGTCAGGTTCTCTGACGAAAATCCTACTTATGCCTTAAAGTAGAGCTCAAGTGCCAACTAGTGTTCTGGGTTAGAGTTTGGCTCTTTGACTTATGAGTCTTGTACAACTGAGCTCTCTAAGTCTCAGTTTCCTTATCTCTAAAAATGAAGATGATGACAGTATCAAAAGCAGGGTTGTGGTGAAAATTATATGAGACGAGTGCTCAGTGAATAATGATGATGATGAAGCCTTGGCATAAGCCTTAGCCTTAAGTGCTCTTCCTCTGAACTCCCATAGCACTTTATTTAGACCTCAGACAATCTGCAGCATCTGATATGTTTCGTCCTTGAAGCTCTCCCCTCCCTAGCAGCCACCACCATGCACTGCCCTGACTCTCCTCTTATTCTCAGACTAATTATTTCCTTTCCTTGAGGGTCTAATCCTATAGTCAGACTTGTACTTGTCTTGAATTCCCTTTAAACCATAAGATCCAAAGGCAAGATCTGTATTTTACACATCAGCTTATAGGCCAAGGTGCCTACCACAAAGCCTGCTTGCTATAAGGGAGGTATCACCCGGCACCTACCTACACACAGCAGGTGATCACCATCTCTACAAACCATTGATGCACACTGTCAATCTTGGGCAGTCATCTGCCCAGTGGTCTAGATGTTTTATCTTCCTCCATACATTTAACTCTCCAAGCCCAGTAACTAAAAGCTTTTATAGCTAACTAAATAAAGAGCACTCTACATAGCACCGACCAGAGTGGGCCTTCATTAGCATCTGTTAAAGCACTTAGGCTTGAAAGCCAAACAGATCTAGGTTTTAATTCGTGTTCCCCCATTCACTAAGCAGAGTAACCTCGGGCTAGTCACTTCAACCTTATAAGCCTCAGTGTCCTCCCTCATTTGTCAAATGTGGTAAATAATAGCAACCTCACATAGCTGTTGAAGAGGATTTAAGATAAGACATGAGTTTCTGGTCCATTAAATAGCTCATAAATGTTATCTGACTCTCCACCCCATCCCCAACACACACTGCCCCTCACAGAAAGTATTTCTCGGCCTCCTAAGCATTATGACTTCAAATGGAGCATATCATCACCTCCGTATTGATACGTTTTTCAAATAGTCATGAATCCCTAAGAGCTGTACCTAACTAAGGAAGAATTGCTGCTGTTCTCACTTCTTCCAGGACATGAGAGTGAGTGTGGGTGGTGGAGAAAGGGAACAGATGAAAATTTAGTGCACTCTCCATGCCTGTGTTGTTAAATCACAAATAGATGCCCCCTCCCACTGTTCCCCCAGGGATAAGAAGGTCTCAGAAGAACTCTGTAGCCATCTGATCAGGGGACAACACAGTTGAAGGATTAATGTGGCCTCTCTCTGTTGGTGGTCTTGGTAATTGCACAGATGTAGTGGATTGTAAACTGGGGGACTGGGTCTCCCACTAATGCACCACTGGGCCAGCACAACTGCACATTTTTCAGAGTTGAAAACTCGACTAGCCTTTAATGAGGAGGCAATGTTGAGGAACCTTGTTTTCTTGGCAGGGCTCTTGTAGATAAAGGGAGATGGAGGGGTGGGGAGGAACTAATGAAGTCCAGATGTGGGCAAAGTGAAGCATGATACTGAATAAACAAGTCTTGCAGGTACTAAGCTCTTCTTCTTGTCTCTCCAGCAAGAAATTTGCATGTGGTACAGAGTGTGTTCCCATGTGCCTCCTGGAGCATAGTTGAGATTTTAAGGAAGAAAACAGGACATTTTCCCCTGCTCTGTGAATCCTCTGATATCTTTTGACCTAATGCTTTTGATTTTCTGCCCCCAGTTTATGGCCTCTTCTGTGATTTTTCACAAACATATATTGAGCACCAAGGTCTATGTCTCACACTAGCAATACCAAATCAAATCAGATCTGTCTCTCCCCTGTGCAGCTAACAGGGTAGCCAAGAAATATACAAGTAAACAGACATGACAATCAGCACAGTGACTGCAGCCACAGAGGTGGGCCCAGGGTTCTCTGTGACCTTTGGAAGGTGGGGGAGGAGACAGCTACGGAATGCTTCCTGGAGAAATGTCCGCCTGGTGTTTAAGTACCTACCATGTGCCCAGAGGAAAAGACCTGGCCCCGTCTTCCAGCAACCTATTATGTAGCTTTTTTTTTTTTTCTTTTTGATACGTGGTCTCATCCTGTCGCCCAGGCTGGAGTGCAGTGGCATGATCTTGGCTCACTGCAATATCCACCCCCTGGATTCAAGCGATTCTCCTGCCTCAGTCTCCCAAGTAGCTGGAATTACAGGCACATGCCACCAAGCCCAGCTTATTTTTATACTTTTAGTAGAGACAGGTTTTCACCATGTTGACCAGGCTGGTCTCGGACTCCTGACCTCAAGTGATCCACCTGCCTTGGCCTATGACAGTTTGTATTAAGGTGTTATTTGCCTGCTCGAGATGGGGTAGCTGCTAAGTTTCATGACAAGAGACAACATGCAGCTGGTTGTGCTGAGGTTCACTACTGTGTGGTGAACACCTGACACATCATAGGCCCTTGATAAGTAATTGTGGAAGGAGGGTAGGCTGCAGAAGACAGCAGTAGGAATCAGAGGACTCCTGGTCTGGCCATGCCACTACTTAGTTATGAGAGAGTCACTTAATATCCTTGAGCCCCGGTTGAGTTAGCTGTAAGAATCAACCTCCCAGGATTACTACCAGGTGCAAAGAAGAGCGTGCACATAAAAGCCACGCTGTAAACTGTACAACACTACAGACATATGAAGGATGATTCTCACTTATCACACACACAATATCACATGATTTGACAACCAAAACAAGCCTATGGCATTGGTGAACCGTTGTGACCAATTTATAGAAAAGCAAAGTATAGCTCCAAGGGGCCCAATGGCTCTTCTGAGGTTGAAGGACAAGTCACAGAATGAGTAAGCACTCAAGTTGGGACATGTACCTAAGTCAGATGATGCCTAAGTTTGACTTTTTCTCTAGTTAGGAATATTATTACAGAAGTCAGAGTCAAGTTAGGTAGCATTTTTATGGCTAGGGAGAGAAGGAGATTCATCCGTGACTCAACCATGCATCAATTCCTAGATATTAAGAATCTGTATAAACCCCTTTTAGGTTCTGAGCGAGGCAAGCACTGAGCCCATGTATATTTAAAATGAATACTTAGCATTTCTGCCCATTTTAAATCTTTGCCCATGATACTCTTTGTAATACAGTGCAAGACAAAACTGAGAGATAGGAGATGATATTTTACTGTTTGCTCCTAGTCTTACTGCTGCTAGAGTCATTAAGCCTTTGCAAGGCAGGGATAGGAACCATTGCTTTGTGGATTTGGAAGGAATTCCTATTATGCTATAATTCCAGAATCTGAGATACATCTGAAAAAGAGGTCAACATGACTAGGTTTTTCCATATCTCCTGCCATTGAAAGGTGTCTGCTTTCTCCATAACGCGTGATGATTTGCATCTCTAAACCACACTGGTCTCCTCCACTGCCATTCCGTTCCTTTGTTGTGGGGACCATCTGAATGGGAGCAGGGGCATCCAACTCAGTCAAGGCCTCTCTTGCTGTTTTAAACAAACCTGACATTCAGCAGGAGAAGGCTCAGGACTGCAAGCAGCAGGATGATGGTTCAATTTCCAGCTCTGGGCCCCTCCACCCTCCACGTCTGTCACTCTTGCCCTCTAATCAGAACCGGGTTCTGGATGGGGCCAGCTGGGAAAGTGGGAAATGTGTCGACGTCATCGTTGTTGTTGTTGTTAAATTTAAACTCTATAGCTTTTCCAGAACTGAGAATGCAAAAGTGAATTATCCCCTCCACCTCTGAGGTCTTTGCTTTTACCTTTTTCTGTGAGTACCCTTGATAGTTATGACAGGTAAGCAGGCTAGGAGGCTTCATTAGGAGCCCCCAATTCACGTGTCTCCAGCTGAAATGCAACAGCAGTTGGACCAAGAGGTAAGAAATTCCTATTGCAAAGAGGAGTGAGAATCAAGAGACCTGGGTTCTAATTAAATAACTATAAGATAAGAGTGGGGGGTGTAGCTAAGGCTGGGGTTCCTTTCCTTACTGTATTTTTACCAGATATAACATCTGGCTGTCACTTCACCATTTTTTGACTCTGTTTACTCATTTAGAATAAAAATAGTTAACATTTACTGGGCATACCATATGTGCCAAGCACTGAGTTACTTTATATACATTAGCTCATTTAATTCTCAAAACCTTAGTAAGTAGACATAGTATCTCTATGTAACAGATGTATTTCCGGAGGCACCATAAGGTTAATTTGCCACATGGTCCACAGCAGAGGTGCTCAGGTCTGAACCAGGGCATGTGCTTTTAACCCTGTGCTAAACTGAAAACCCTAAGAATATCTAGCTCTTGGGGTTTCAAGGGTGAAATGCATCCACATTTTTCACGTGTATCCCCATACACAGTAGCACTGGACAAGAGATAACAATTATTGCAGTAATTTCTTGGCTTGTGTTTCTCCGGAACTATAGGAAAGCACTATCTAATCCATTTTGCTGCCATTGTATGGGTTGGGGAAGCAATGCTGTTGCTCATTGTATAATGAGGCCACAGCACATGACTGCTTCAAGAAAACCTGGGAGGTCAGGAAGCATTGTAATTAAAATATCAACATAACACAAGGAAAGGGGCAAGCCACAATGAAGCTCTCAATAGCACATTTTTTTCTAAGAAATGCTGACATCCCTTAAGGAGAAAGGGATTGGCCTTGGCAAGCAGCAAGCGAAGAGCTGCTGATCTGAAGCTCTGCTTGGGGAAGGAAGGATGGGAGGAGACACATGAACTCTAAAGAAGCTACTTTAGCATTTTCCTTTGCCCATCCTGGGGCCAGGTCAGAAAACCAGAACCATTCCCAACTAAAAGACTCTCAACGTTCCAGTGAGCCCACTGCTGCAGAGTGCAATTCCAGGCATTATGGCATTCATTTGATTCTTACAGCAATCCTCTTGAGGGAATCCAAACAGCAATCTCATTTTACAGATGAGGAAACTGAAGGTTAAAGAAATCAATGATCCACCTAATTCACATAGCTACGAGAGGCTCTGAAGAGTGTCTCTTTCCACTGCCCTGTGTCTGGGAGCAGCCCACTAGGCAAGCTGGGAATAATGCCACAGAGAGTGACGAGCATGTGACATTCCTGTCCCTGTGCTTTTCTTATCTCACCACACTCTTGGGTATAGCGGGCTCCTTTGAAGCGTTCAATTAACTGATCCTCCAACTTTCAAAAACACCTGTTCAAACCTCAATACATGATACTGTGCAATTATTTGCTTTCCACAACAAACACCTTTTTCAGGGAAAGCCATTCTTCCTAGAAACTCAAACCCACAACTGTCAATTTGGAGCACACAGGAAAACTAGACCTTTCATTTTTCAGTTTTCAAACACAAAGATCCTTAGTCCACCTTTAAGAAACTACTGCCAAATGGACTGTTTTTCTTTTAAAGGTTGGAAAGAATTCTACTAGCCTCCCTTCCCCCTCCCCAAATTCAAGCTGTTGATTGTGTGCCTGGTTTACGATGTTATTAAAAAACAAAGAGGGGTCTCAAAGTTTACAACCAACCTCCAGAGTGGGCAAGTCAAAAGAAAACTACATGAAATGTGGTACATGTAACATCAGCAGCTTACATTTGATCCAGAGTAGGCAAGATAAGCTAACTGCCTATCCCCTTGAGCAGTTCATTTGGACAGGTTAGCCTTCCTGAACTGTAAGTCTGCGAGATGGAAAGGGGGTTTGAAATCAGCCAGGCACAGGCTGAACCTGAATTTTTTGTAGCTGTAGTCTTTGAGTACGTCATTTAACTCTCCCATCTGTATAATGGGGGTGATAGCACTTACTTCACATTTAGTGTTCTCAGGATTAACTACCTTCCTTCTTGGCTAAATATAGGCCAGAGAAAGTTGGCTTCTACTTGGTATAAGTCTCTGTTGGCTCAGACATTCTATAATATGACAATACAGGAAGAAGTCAGACAGGATCCACCATAGCAGAGTCTGGACACTTACCGCGAGGATGGCAATGACGATCCCCACGGCACAGAGCACAGCGTCATTTATTGTCTCACCAGTTTTCAGTGGGTACTTGATGCTCTCATCATTGCAGTAAAACCCTCGGTGGTAAGGCTTGATGGTGCTTGTCTCGATGATGAGGAAGGGGAGGCCCGCTGGTCCAGGTGGAACCATGGCATATACCAGAAAAAAAAAGAAAAAAAGGAAGGGGAAAACATCAGTGCCAAAGAGGAACTTCAAGAAAAGACCATCCCAAATATCACTGAGAGTGATAATCGTTCCTTCCATTTGTAGAGATCTACTGCCTAGAGAGAGCTTTCGCTATGCACAACCCCATTCCTCCTTTCCACACCCCCATGAGGAGAGAGGCATTATCCTCTTCTCTTCCCCAAGAGCTCGGAGGTAGGCAGTGAAAGAGCCAGAGCAGGGGTTTTCCCACTGTTCTACAATACCCTGCTAAAAATTAAAGCCCGAATCGCAACATTTACTAATATAGCCCCAAATCTCATGATTTATGCTTCCAAGGGCATTCATTTCTTAGCTCTTAACCATTTCCCCTTTGAGAAGTTCACTAAGGCTGTGCTGCCTGGGGTAGTGAAGGCCTTGGAGTAAAAAAATCTGGATGTGAACCCCAGATCCAGCACTTCCTCTGGTTCCCACTCCATTTCCCTGAGTCCCAGTTTTTTCCCACAGTAAAATGAGTTGTGGTGATGACTAAAGGAGATCAACGCACACACAACCTCTAGCACAGTGCCTGGCACATAGTAGCTGCTTCATGAATGCCATTTTCCAGGCTTTTCTTTCACTGTTCAAAGAACTACCAATAAGAGTGAGCAGAGCTGAGCTTGGCCCTGCTGCCTGCAGACCTGGATAGAGGGCCCAGGGCACCCAGGAGAACCAAGTGACTCTTGCAGTTGCTGCTGGTTATCAGTGGCCAGCTCAGATACTATTCTCTCAAAGGTCATGGCAAATGGATTCCATCACCTGCCAAGAAAAGTCCCTCACAACCTTGACTTAAAAAGCAAAGGCCCATGATAACTCTTGTCTGGATGCTACAAGAGCCTCCTAATCAGGCTCATGGCCCCCATTCCCTTCTACAGATAGCCACCAGTTTGCTTCCTGAAGGGCTTGGACCATGAGCATGTCAAAGCCTTGCTAAAGCCTCTTCAATGGCTCCCCATGACACAGGGTGAAATAAAGTCCCTAAGTATGACTTTAGGAGTTCCCATGACCTGGACATCTCTCCAGCTTCATGCTCTGCTGCTCCTCTTCAGTAAGCCTCCAAGAAACCAGTACACAGAGACTGTGGATTCATGCTATTCTCTTAGACCAAAATACCTCTTCCTCCCCAACTACCCAACTGCAATACCAAGCTCCAATGACACTTCGCAAAGTAAAAGGACCAGTTCTTTTACAAATCTTGGAACTAGGGAAGACCACCAAAAACACAGTGGCCTTTCAGCTGGAACTGCCATCTTCCAGTAATTCACCAAAATGACAAACACAAAGGGAAAGAGGAGAGGCACCCGATAGATGTTCTCTAGGCCTGTTAGAAAACATGGAGTTGTTTATTTGGCCACGTATATGAGAATCTATGAGAAAGGTGATGCTGTAGACATCTAAGGGAATGGGTACTGCTCTAAAAAGAATGCCCCACAAGTGTTACCATGGCTAAACTGGAAGAGTCTGCAGTGTTCCCCAGCATGCCGTTGGTACTGTTGTAAACAAAAAAGTTAAGGGGAAGATTCTTGCCAAGAGAATTAATGTGCATATTGAGCACATTAAGCACTCCAAGAGCTGAGATAACTTCCTAAAAAACATGAAGGAAAATGATCAGAAAAAGAAAGCCAAAGAGTTCAACTGAAGTGCCAGCCTGCTCTACCAAGAGAAGTGCAACTTTGTGAGAACCAAGGGGAAGGAGCCTGCTGCTGGAACGTATGAACTCATGGCATAGTAGATGTTAAAAAAATAAAATAAAATAAATACAAGACTTCTGGGCTGCAAAAAAAAAAAACACAGTGGATAATACAGCCACTATTGAATGCACACTCACAATGTGTTGGGTTCTTTATATCCATTTTTGCATTGAAGTATTATTTAAGCACTACCACCCATCTTCAAGTGGAGGGAACAGAGACTCAGAGAGAATACTGAGCTCATTCAGGGTCTCTTAGTCCACCTCCAAATGCTTAAATCCCTAATTTAACTTTGCAAATTGATTTCATTCAAATGTGAATTTCATTAGCTGAAAAATCCCAAGATAAACAGTTGTTTAAAAGATAAAATCCCATTTTTCATGTTTTTCAAAAAGAATTAAATTCACATCATGTTGCTTGAAGTCCCAGACCACCTCTAAAAAAAAGTACCATGAACTCCACAATTTTTCAATTACTTTGGTCCAGACCAGCAGTGATAAAAATGCTCACTTTCTAAAAAGTGTATTTATGTATCACTGTGCATACACACATGGATTTATTTGGTTTTATTCTTTGGATTTATTTGAATTCTATGGCTATTTATTTTGTGACCCCTAACTGCTTCCTGCTAGAACAACAATTTACTTTATCAAATTCATACTGGTGCTTTGAAAAGAAAGAACAGCAACACACCACAGTATTGTGCCTGACCTTCTCAAAGTAAACACAGAGGGGCCATGACAGGCAATAGCCATTAGGTTTTAAAACTTTGTCTCTGCAATGGAGGAGAGGGGGGCAGGGAAAGGCAGTGGATAAACGTTCTGGCTTAGAAATGATCTTTAGGGGTTAGGAGCCTGGGAGAGAAATCATATGGTCCCGAACCATCTTCATGCCACTGCCTAAACATTTTGAAATGCAACCAAGTTGGCTATGAAAAGTAGCTGAGAAGCCAGCAGTATGATATTATTAATAGTCTGCTTTTAAAGTTCCACATATTGAGATTTAAAAGTTGAGCTGCAGTTGCTCTGGTGCCTAGGAGCCAAAGTGTTGCTAATAAACTCAGGAAGGGAACAGACCCCAAGTTCCTTACATTTGCACTCCACTCTCAGACCTCCAGCTTCTATTTTTAATAGTGCTCACATGATAGGCCTGTAAAACATATGTTTCTATGGACAATAAAACACATATAAAAGAGTTTTGGAGTTAGACAGAACTGGGTTAATGATCTTGACTCTGCTCCCTACTACTTGAGTAAGTTATTTCACATCTCCAAAACTCCCTTTCTCATCTGTTTAATGGGAAGAATGAAATCTAACTTTAGGGTGGTTGGGATTATATAAAAATTAAAGCATTCATTCAACAAATATTTATTGAGGCTTAACTATATATATTAAGTTACAAGGAACACAAAGATGACCCAGACCCTGCCCTCAAGAAGCTTACAATCCAGCAGGGGAAGACACATATCATCAAAATCAGTTGAGAAGAAAGTCAAGGCAATAGCACTGAGTAATGCCAGCATAGAGTCCGGGACACACTGTGGACACTCAATGAATGTTAAAAAGAGAAGGGAAAAAAGCCTCACAGAGAAGGCAAGGGAAAAAAATCTGGTCAGTCCTTTGCCCACTTTTAAACTGAGAACAGTCCAAATCCTTTTTCCTCTTTCTTTGCCTATGGCTTGGGGAGGGTTTCCGGTTCTGATTATGTGGATGAAGACCACAAACAGACAAGAAATTGGAGCTGAATATGTTCTGTTTATTTTCTTGAAAGGCATGCAGATGGCATTTACAAAACCCGATGGCTTTTTTTTGTCTCCCCTATAAACTTGTGGTATTATTGAGGGTGATGCCAGTCAAATCTTGATTTTGATCCAGGAAGAGTAACCACAGATTTCCTTCAGTTGATGGGAAAAGCATAAACATCCCCCCAACTAGGCAGCTAGTCCAACTAGGCAACTAGGCAGAGATATAACACTGTGCCTTGCCCTTCCAGGACACAGAGAAGAGGCTGTTCTTCTCCAACAACCTTTAGTTCCAATACCATCACCATCTTTATTACCAATTACTATAGTCCCTTATCACTTCATTTGGAGAAATTTCCCAGTGCTAGACACTGGAATTCTGGAAGTCAATACATCATAGTACCTGCCCCGGAGGAGTTCACAGTGTTGTAAGATAGTCAAAAAAGCAAGAACCCTGAATTATTTCTAGTGTGATGACTGACATATGCATAGAGTACACCAAGGACACAAAGACTATTCTACTAGAGTCTTTCAAGGTGTCCAACAGAGGGTGGGAGACTTCAGTTAACCCTTATATAAGTAGGAGGGGTTTCTAGAGTCCACGGGCTAAGTACAACCATAAAAAAATCAGTGCAGTTTAGGGATTTCAATATTGTCAGTCACAAAACTGATGGCTATTAAACAAATACAATTTTAAAGTTTGCTATAGAGCTAGAGGAGATGAAGGGAATGAAGGAAAGAAAGGCGAAAATAGCACAAAGCATAAATAATAGGTAACATTTACTAAACAGTTAGTAAGTTAGTATGTGCCCAAACTGTCTTGAGGGTCCCCATATAAACTATTGTAGACTGACAAACCTGGCTGCCTACCACAGTCTAGGCATTGACTGGGCCACTGAAATGAAAGAGGCTACGTTCCAACCTTCAAGTGGCCCAAAGGCTAATAGGATAAACAGTCATAAAAACTAATACATTAAGCCACCCTAAGGTTCAAAGAGATTAAAGTGACTTACCAGTCACTCTGCAAGTAAGTTATGGAGCTGAACAGGTTTCAAATGATCTGACTCTGATTTTGGGTGCTTTCTATAAAGTAAGTGAGTCACTCTTCAGAGAAGGAAGCATCTATAAGTATTAGTAAATTAACTGAAGCTCAGCAAATCTCATGGCCTCTGATGAAAAAGGCACTGTTCAGAACAATCAAGGGAATGGCACTGGCTCAAGTTAACTGAACTTTCACTGTGTATCACACATGTGCTAGGTAACTAATTTCATCAAACTCTGAACGCAATAGCCTGGAGTTTAAATGTATTCGTAATAAAAGGTGCATTACAAAATTTTTGCAAAGCATGACCAAAAAAAAAAAAAAAAAAGAATCTAGTGAGTGCAGACCGAGACCCAGACCCAAGCATTTCTCCTTCCTTTAATCAAGGATCAATTAACTTCATATACCTCTGGGGATTTCTTGGGATGTGTAGGTTGCAGAGGAGGTGAAATATGAACTCACTGACAAACACTTAATGGGCATAAAATCAAAGCATGAAGAAAGGCCCCTGTGTTGGGTTCAGGCCTTTGAAACTTCTCTGGCTTTGAAAAACTAACACTGGGGCAGGTTGGGTGGTTTGGGGGTGGAGTGTAAAAAAACACAGACTAAGTTTTTGTGGCCCACCCATTGATAAACTCATGTGGGAAGTGTTACCCAAGTGACCTGGCCCCAAAGCCCTGCTCCCTGCAGCCACAGTTCACCTTTGCACAAAATTAAACACAGCCTCCTTCTCACAAAGTGCTTTTTAGAAAGCCCTTGGTGAGGCTAAGAAGAGAATGATGGGAAGGGTGAAGAAGGAATCTTTGCATTTTTTGACCAAAATCAGAGCACCAGGAGGGGACTTTTATGTCTTCTACATACCAGGTCCTTCATGTCCTTTTCCAGAGTTGTTCAATTTTCCACTCAAAACAATCCATAGTCATTATAAAATACGTGAAGTCCAGGATCTGCGAGAATAATAATTAAACTAACATCTGCAGAAAGCCTACACATCTATCCACAAAATAATACTGGTTGCACAAAAATAGGCATCTGGTATAGCATAATTACTCAAATTGGGCAGCTATTAGAACTCTGTGACAAGGCCATTTGCGGTGGCTCATTTCTGTAATCCTAGCCCTTTGGGAGGCTGAGGCAGTTGCATTGCTTGAGCTCATAAGTCCGAGACCAGCCTTGGCAACATGATGAAACTCCGTCTCTACCAAAAAAACAAAAATTAGCCGAGTGTGGTGGTGCATGCCTGTAGTCCCAGCTACTCAGGAGGTAAGAGGATAACTTGAGCCCAGAAGGCGGAGGTTGCAGTAAGCCAAGATTGCACCACTGCACTCCAGTCTGGGTGATAGAGCCAGATCTTGTTTCAAAAAAAAAAAAAAAGAACTCTGTGATAAAAAGTTTATACATCTTACCTACAGTACAGAGTTATGAGTAGGTACTGTTCTACCCATCTTACAAATGGAAAAACTGAGGATCAGAAATGTTCATCAGTTCACCTAAAATGCAGAGCTAGCAATGGTCCCAATTTGGACCACCTATTCAAAATATAGACTGAAGACCCTGGACCTTGAAGGAGTTTAGACTTTAGGAATTGATTAATTTAATCTCCACGATAGCTATGAAACGTTGTGGGTTATTATTTTCATGTATACCCAACAGAAAACTGAGGCCAGAAGTTTTATAACTGGTACAAGGTCCTCAAGTGAGTAAATTGGTCACTGGGTTTTGAACCCACATCTGTCTGTCTTTTGGCTTATATTTTCTTACTCTATGACCTGACCCTCCCTTTCTTTATAAACATATTCCCTGTTAAAATATCACTCACTGATTTTTTTAAATCACTTAAGGCCAGAATGGTCAACACAACTATTACTTAGAGGTTCAAAATACAAATATTTATGTTGCTTGTAAGTGACAGGGCTTCTATTTAAAGTAATTAATTGCTACTGGTCTTAGAAGTGTGCAAACTTTCTTTGGTTTACGATATTTGTCCAGATTTTTAGACTGGACACAATCCAGATGAGACAAAACTAAGTTTACTATGAAGGCATTTTTCTACCTTTGAAACAGGCTGCCATGAAAAACACTTGCTGTTGGCTGGTGTGAACACGCAATATTCTGGGTCTAGAGGTCTTCCTTAGCAATTGCTCATTCTTCAGTACTGGAAAGTTCAGGCCCTTTCTCCACAAAAAGAAGACTGTTGGAACCAAAAGCAACTACGTGGTAGAAATGGAGAAACCAGTGGCAGATCTAGTCCTAGTACTTGGGTTTCCTGACCCCAAATCAAGGTCTTTAGTCCAACTCAACAAACAAGTATGGCTCTTTCCTAAGTACTGAGTACTGTGTTAGGTGCTGGGGAAAACAAAGGTGAGTAAAATACTGCAGTGATTTTGAGTTCCCTGCCTTCTGAAAGTCTCAGTTTCCATGACAAAGAGAAACCTGTTTTACTTTCACCATGGGCGTTAAAAAGAACTTTGGATGTCCTTTCTTATTTGAAAGTGCTTACAGTGAAAACATTTTATTTTTAAAATAATTAACATCAGCCTCCTTAAAATCCCCAGCTCCAGCTGTTTCAGCCCTTTCTGTTGGATTTTTAAAGGGTTGCCACATTCATCTGCAAATAAAACAAACTGACCAGCAACTCATGGTTCATATCTTTAATTGAAAGAACTCCAAACCTCTTTTGTCATCATTATATATTTCACAAATGAGGTGTTTTATTTCTAGTGAAACACAACTACCAGAGCCAACAGGACTCATAATCCTTCCATCCCAGGTAAAGCTGAGTCACTTCCCAAGACCTCCTTCCTTTTGAATCCTCTTTAAATAAGGGAGAGTAAGTATACATTTATTGGGCACCCACTATGTGCTAGGAGTTTTGGATACATCAATTGATTTAATTCTCAAAACAATTTTCTAAATTAATTATTAGGATATAGACAAAAGACCAAGGGTCAGAGAGGTTGTAATTTGTTTCAGTATCCACTCTGAGGATAAGAGGCATAAACAAGATATGTAATAGAACTGTCTGACTCTAGAATTCATTCAGAGATGGGACCAGTTAGCCTTTATTGCTAAGGATACATGAACTATGTCTATTCACATATTAGCAACCTAGAAAGTCAGCTACGAAACTCTTGAAAGTGGACAAGGGCAGAAACCAAGGCTCCTCTTTAGATGTTAAGATGGAACCATACAGATCCAGCCACTCTCTCTCTGCCTCATAAGTCTCCCTTATGACCCAAAGGCATTCATTTGCAACATGGCTACCCAGAGTTAAGACACAGCAATAGTCCCATCCATGCAAAGTATTTCTGAGCTCTTACATAAATCATCACATTTGATCTTCCTAACAACTCCATGAAGTAATGTCTTTAACATCTGAATTAAAACAACTCCTATTTATCTTTCAAGACTTAAATATCCTTCAAGACTTAAATCTCTCCAACAAAGGATTTACTTAGCCATGTAACCCACTCTAACAGGATTAATTGCTTCTTTATTTTTTCCAATTTAATCATGATCTTTGGAGTCAGGCAGACAAGATTTCATATTCCACTCCTATCAACTGTCATTCTTGCTGTATGACCTTAACTCTCTGAACTTTATTTTTATCACTGTACAATAAGAGTTGGCACATTAATTCCCAATGTACAGAGTTGATTAGGAGGACTAAGATGTAGTTGATAAAATAAGTTATTTCTTGCTCTTATATGTGACAGGGAGCCACCAAAAGCTTTTATGTGGGGGTAAGATGTGACCAGATTTCTGTCCAAAGCTCATGCAAGTAGCCATGGGCCCACCAGCCACTTCCCATACGCAATCTAATCTGCAGGGAAAAGCATGCTCATGAAGTCCTATAATTCCAGGAACTTCTTGGGATTGGGTAGACAAATGGGGCTTTGACAGTGGTTAGCAAGACCCGGAACCCTGACATAGGGAAGAAACATCACAGTGGGAACCCTGCCATATATTCTCAAAAGATCACATGATGCTGTATCGGAGGCAAGTCTATAATAAGGTTGAGAAAAATACATTTATTTTTATTTTTCCAGCAGTTAAAAATTCATTCGTCAGCATGTGCACTCCCATCCAAGCCATGCTACCCAGGTGTACACAAAACACCCCGTCTATGTGGCAGAATAAACAACACGTGGACTGGCAGGACACCAGACACCAGGGACAGCCAAAGATCGAGATAGTCAAAAGGCAAGACTGGAGCCAGATGCAGTGCCAAAAGCGAAGAGGTGAGCATTATGGGAGGCCCTGCAAGAACAAAATCACCCTGGTGAGCAATCCAAGGGCACTCCAGGTATGCCACTGAGCTACATGGCCCGCGATCTAGCTCAAAGGTCACAAGCTGGCAGCCCATGGCCAAATCTGGCCTGTAGAGATGTTCCGTTTGGCCTACCCAGGGTTTAAAATGTTTTAAATTGTTAACATTTAATAACAGGCAGATAACATCCAGATTCCCAGCTTCTTAAACCAGCTCTAAAGTGTGTGGCAATGCAGGCAGTAATAACAGCGGCTGCCTTCCCGCAGGGAGCATATACACATTCTCCAGGAGCCACCTACTCCCCACTATCTCCCTGACATGAAGGCTGTCTGTGGGTTGCCATTCTCATTGAGCTTGCACTGTCAATTTTCTTATACCTGGTCCACTGTAGTCATTTATGTTAATTGCCTGGCTTTGTAAACATTTGACTTTATCCTTGCTGTAGAGAGTAAGAGTCCTTGGTTAATGACTCTTGGGTAAACCTATGAAAATAGAAATAACTCTTGATGCCGTAATGTCTCCCATAGTAAGTAATGGCCACATTAGACATGTATATATATGTGTATATGGTTATGTGTGTGTATGGATTTATGCGTATGTCTTAATCTTAACCCAAGACTGAGCCTCCTATCTATGTTTTCAATTATAAACCCAAAGATCATGTCAAGTCACCAGGGCAAGGTAGTTCATTTCTGCATTTTAGTTATGGGGAAACTGAGGCTTAGAAGCTAAGTAACTTGCCAAAGGTCACACAGTAAAATGAACAGGGATGTGAAACAAAGCCTTGCTGAAATAGAAAGCCCTTACCAAATTGACTCCATGAGGCTGGTGGTTAGGTCAAAATGAACATCTACCTTACTGGCCAGGTAAACAGCTTATCTTAATAAATTGCATGGTTATGCTTCAGAAGATACAGTGGACCCAACTTATAGCTCTCTATGTGATACTAAATGGGAATATCAGAGAGTTTTATTTTTAAAAGCAATAGCTATCTAAAATCAAAACAAAAACAATCTTCTGATAGAAGCCCACTAATTCTAAAGAATAAAAAATAAAAGCAAGGTGAGAAGGGAGTTAAAAATTAAAGTCCATCAGATATTTGTTGGCATCATAAATCTTACTCAGAATGGAGTTAGGTGCATAACAGTAATATCCTGATGAAAGTTTAGAACTGTAAGAGATCTTAATGTCATTTGTTTTCATTTAATAGATGGGAAGGTTGAGGGCCCCCTCTGTCTAACATCATAATTATTCCTTTCCCATAAATCTCCTGCACTAGCTAAGATCCTCAGAAAAGGGTTCATGTTATTTATCTCTGTGTCCCTGATACAAGGAAGAATTCCTGGCACATAGTGGGAGTTCAACAAATGTGTACTGAATAAATGCATAGGAAACAAACCAAAATCTGGAAGACCTGGCCCCCTACCAAATACACTCTAGGACTTGTGGATCGTTTTCTCCCCACTTTCTAAATTTTAACCTAATCTCTCCCACATCCCAAATCCTGTTTTTTAATGCAATCCCCCAAAACAGCACAACATCCCATACCCTAATAAAGAGTAGACAATTCCATCAGGAATTGTTTACAGGGATCCTAACCAGCTTCAAGTCTCAGATGGGTGGTTAGGCCGGATGGCTAAGAATAAGACACTTATCTTCAGTTTCCAGCCTTTTCCACATAGTGATACTATTAGAAAATACACTATAGGGCACTCCTAGGCAAGCTGAGGAGACTGCTGCTCAGTGATTCAGCTGCCATGCCCCACCCTGCCCAGCTGCCCAAGGGCTAAGGGATCCATTTCAGCACACCCCTAACCCATTTGCTGGGATCCTCTTGGGAATTTCTGCCCTAAAGACAGCTCCAAGTAAGAGGAAGAGCACAGATCTCAAGAAAGCAACTCAGACCTGGGTTTGAAAACCAGTTTTGCCACTGACACTCTATGTGATCTTCAGCAAGTTGCCTAATTTCTCTGAGCCTCAACTCTAAAAAGAGGATGCCAATATCCACTTTGAAAAGCTGTGAGGATGAAATATCAGAAGGCAGGTATTTAACAAAGATTAGTTCTCTTCCTTCCCAGTCCTGAAAATCTACTATCAAGCTGTTTACATGATGCCAATCAACTGGCTTGACTGGTTTCCTCACTAAGGTGGTTGGAGTAACCTGGACAGGGCCGTGTCAGCTCAGACAAGGACTGTCACTTGCATTGAGCAAGACTGGAGCCGTTCCAGGGTGCTGTGGATAGGACAACCCTCACCCTGGGAGCACACTCCCCATTCCCAGTCCTGTCAATGTTCCTTTTGTAAAACACAGAAACTTTCTTCAAATCTGACAGCTGCCACCTGCACAAATAATTCAGGGATGTAATTTTGTAACTCAATACAAACCTTGAAAGCTGAAAAGTTTGAAGTCCAAACTAATCCCTTTGACCTTCTGCCTAAACACTCACTAATCACTTTTTAATTTGTAGTTGATTTCCTCTCTCTGTGCTGTCCTTACAGGCTACATTTTCATTTTAGAAGTATCCAGGGAGTAAATGGCATTACAAAATACCCAACTGAAGTACAACGCAAACTTCTTTTCCCAGAGATCTAAGGCTTCTCCATGGCCCACTGAGTTTTCCAAATGGCAATGGGTGGCAAGAAAATGAGGGAGAAAATTCCTCCTTTGAAGGGGAGACTCCTCACTGGGAGAATTATGAGCTACAGAAGTTAATAAGATGTGGTCTCTGCCCCCCTAAAAATGCATACTCTGGGAATAACCACCCATCAACAATGTGACAAGAACTTCCACAGGGGCATTACTAAAGTGAGAGCACTGAGGATGCCCTCAGCACATGACCTGGCAGCCAGCTGGCATGCAATACCTATTTACTGACTAATCCAGTAAATGAATTTGAAATACTCCTTGCTGTCATTTGAATGCCATGTCATTTGAATGCCAATTGGTATAGCCAATTTAAGGCTATACCAAAAAAAAAAAAAGATCCAGAACTGAAAAGGTTTTCTTCCCAAGAAGTTAACAAAACTGCTGCTTTGTTCAGTTCTTATTATCTCCCAACCTTTAATGCTAAGGAAAAAAATTAGAAAAGTACTTTGAGGGAGCCCGTCTAGTTCCTAAAACAATAGATGCTGAAAAGATGCTTGCTAAAAAGGAAGCGAACTGGCAGTGAAAGATGTTAATGTTGTTAAATCCAGAAGAATTTTCTTACTTGGGAAAAAAGGTTTCTACTTTAGTCATCACTAGGATTATTGTAAAATGAAATAAATTGAAATCCACTGGAGGCGTTCTATTCTGTGTGGCCGTTCTTTTTGCCTACTGGGTAATGGAAGCCTCAAGTGGTCCAAGGTGGATCAGCTCTGTCAATATCCTGGCAGGGAAAGTAAGTCAACACTAGTCATTGGTTCAATGAAGAAATGTCTGATATCAGTAAGACTGCACAAGCAAGTCTGGGAGTTAAGTAATAACTTTATGTTATTATTACCATCAGTCTTAGCTCTGCCACCAACTACCAGTTTGATCACCGGATCACACTTCCTCATCTGCTCTCTGGGGTTCATTTTCTTCATGTGCAAAATGAAAGGGCTGGTTTTCCCAGGTGTCTTGTGGACCTTTCTTATTTTAAGAGTTTTCATCTTTATCCAAGGACTGCAGAGTATTTTGTAAGCAAGGTTTCATTTCCATAGCATCTTTACGTGATAGAGGGGCTTCACTACCTACCTTTGTCCCAGCTGGGGTAACTGAGGAGCACTCAACTTTCTTTTAGGTTTGTGAAGGCAGACTGGCTGAGTAGAGACCTCTGGACTTCAAAGATGCTCATTTATAAAGAACAGCTCCAGAAAACACCCCAAAATCTGCAGACCTTCAGATAAAAATTGAACGAATGTTTGGCAGCTCTTGGCTCTGCTGAAGTAGTAGGCATCAGCAAAAATGGGCGGTGGGTTGGAGGGAGGTGGGAATTAACATTAGCTACCGCTAGACACTTTCCTGGTCACTTTATTGCTGCACCTCCCTTATTCTGACCAATAATCCTTTCCGGGTAAGGAGTATGAGCCTGATTTTACAAAGACTAGAAATGAAGAATAGTGATAAGGCCACAGAGAAGTAGGCCAGAAAGGGACGCTGGGTCCGGCTGACTTTCCATGGAACTGTGAAGCCACCAGATATTCTATCTTTAGGTACTTTTAACTGGAGCTAAGGAGGGGAGCCACTCACAAACTGGGCAGCTGCTTCCTGTAGTCAGAAATCCAGGTACTCTGGGACCATCCTCAGTTGCTCCTGCAGCGCTGCCCCTTCCCCCACCAGAATGGGAATAACAAAATGTAAGGCATTCGGATACACTGGGAGAACTGGCTACAGTAAACAACTCCTAGGTGGTTTGTTATAGGAACCCTATTGTTCCAGAGGGAGGCTCTTTTGCCAGAACTCTCCAGGAAGCCACTGCTGGGTAATGCATTTTTCAGCTGTTGAGAGAAAAGGGTAGATCCTGGGATGTTTCTTCAATGGTTCTGGAAGCCAGGCCCTTAATCCTTGCAAAGCAGCAAGGAGCCAGCTTCTCTCAGAGGGACAGAATGTCTAGAGTCCCTCTTCCAAATCAAAACATAAAAACTCCCCAGCTTCCCCTTTACAACCTCTCAAAACGTGTGAATCAGGCAGAGGGGAGGAAGAGGGTTGCGAAGCCCAAGGGGGGTTCAGGCCTTCTCTATGCCCCTCCTCCCCTTGTAACCCAGCCCACCTGACCCCTCTATTGCAGTAAATTACAAAGCCCCCACTGTTCTCTCTGCCCATCCTCCTCCTCCCACCCACCCCCACACATACACTTTTTTAAAGGGCGAAATGCCAAATAACATTATTCCCCTTCACCATGGTATTGCCATGACAGCTGCCTGGTATGTTTGCCTGAGAAATGGAAGGTTTTCATGGAAATATCAGCTTCCACGACAGCTCCCCCTTTGTGGAAGTGGCCTTGAAAAGAAGTGGAAGAATCCCCAACTGGAATCTAATTGGAAGGACAAGAGGGGAGAGCAAGGCCCCCGGAATTGTTCAAAGGCCTGAGGAATACTTGAGTGTGGCTTTGGGAACCCATAGGCCTTTGCGAACTCTGGCAAAGCCCCACTCTCCACCCTCCCTCCCTGTCCTACTGCACAATGTTGTACTCTGTCGTGGGTAGCCTCACCTCAGAATGGAAACTCTATAATATAATGTGAGGGGGAGGGAAGCACTTACAGTATATACATATTATCCACAGATGTACACAGGTATCCTTGCGCACAATGTGAACTGCAGAAAACCATTTCACAGCCCATGTTAATCAAGCGAACACCAGAGAAATCAAAAATGGCTTTCTGGGTTTGGGGTTTGGTTTGGTTCGGTTCGGTTCGGTTCGGTTCGGTTCGGTTTGGTGGTGTGCAATTAGCAGACCTAGATACAAGTCCCTCCCCTTCCACCTCTGCCAAGTCCTGGCAGTGTGATACTTGATTAGTGAATTCTCAGGACCTTCATTTGCTCATCTTCAAGACAGGTCCTGCAGTCTAGAAGGGCTGACATGAGGATGGCAGAAGAGATGGCGTGGTAAGCAGCCTGCCTCGAACAGGTGCACACACACGTTTCCTCCTCCCCTCCCCACTCAAAGCATGAAGGGGAAGGAGAAGATGCCTGGGAATGGGACAGGATCCATGAGAAACAATCTCTCCTATCATACCCCAGGTACTTCTGAGAGCAAACGGCATACGTGAGCTCCTACTTGTCCATCAAGATGATAGAATGGGTCTTGGCGAATTAATTATTCAACAAACTTGCCCTTCGCAAATCCCATCCAAAGAAATGGTTTGATGCCTTTCAGTGCACTGACTATACAAAATACTGAAAAGACCAGTGCACTTCAAAAGCCTCACAAAACCTAGGCTGGGGTTTGGCAGGAGTTCCTCAGCCACTGGGTTTTTCTGTGTGTGGTTTATAATAACATGCAAACCTGATGCCAAGTCCTAATCTATTAAGGGACTGCCAATTAGCAGAAGGCTTAGAGCTGCAGGTTTGAGAACTGGGGAGCAGGTCTAATTAGGCTTGCAAATCATTTCTCTCCATAGCCCCTTGCATCTGACACAAGGTATTACTGGCTGACTGTTCCGGATATGTTCTTTCCATATTCCTATGCACACTGGTTTTTGTTTGTTTGTTTTAAGGTTCCAGACCTGAAGGCTAAGGCATATTTTCATGTCTGCCTCCTAAATGTAAAATTGGGGATTATCCTCTGGACAGTGATTTTCAGATTTAGCCATTCACCATCAGAGGCACTTATAAAAAAAAAAAAAAAAAAGAAAGAAGGAGAGATAGATAGATAGACTGATTCCGGGCCCTGCCCAGATCTACGTGACCCGAATTTCAGGGGAAGGGCATGAGAATTCTGATTTTTAATAAGACTTCCAAGTGATTTTATCCCAAGGTGATTTGAGAATCACTACTCTAAAACTTAAAAATTTCATTTTTAAATAAAAGGGCTTAAAAAAATTGATATATAATTTACATAGCATGCAATTTACATATGCATATACCAAGTCAACACAATTTTAAACCACACTGAATATACAATATTTACTGACAACCTTATTGTGTGCCAGGAGTGAGAAATACTGAGATGAGTAAAACAGGGTTTCTGCCCTCAGAGAGCTCCTGGTTCTCATAGAAAAATTGATCTTTCCCCTACAGGGACCCTGTGAGGACTCAAACCTGCAGTTCTCCTCTCCCTTTCTCATCAGCCTAGTTGGGAACTTAGCTTTCCAGTATCTTTCCCAGGACAACTTTAAGAAAGAAACAGGATGATTTCAGATGCTAAACATTAGCAGCCTATCTTAGAAGAGGAGAAAAGCCTGAGAAACATATGGCTTCAAGATACAGGAGAAAATATGTGCCTCAGGACTGCCTAAAGACAAAAACTGAAAGAGGGGAGTAAAATGCAGAGGCCCTCTGTGCAGCAGAAAAAGTCCTGGGCTGGGGGTCTCAGGAGTTCAAGGTTGGATTCTTCTGCGAATGAAGAAAGTCCCTTTTCTTCGCTGAGCCTGTATTAGAGAGAAGAGGCTAGACTAGCTGGTCATGTCCCAAAGCAAATTCAACATGGACATTTCATCCTAGGGCCTTCATCAGAGTTTATTGTTAAGTTTTACCTGGGAGATGTGCAACCCAGAAGAACTTGGTTTCCTCAGAGCATTCTCTGAGAAATGCTGGCCTAAATAACCTCTAATCAGTCCTAAAAATATGATTCATGTGTGTGGCTTTCAAACAAGACTGATTTCCTAGCTGCAGGGCCAATGTTTAATATTTATCCTCTCCACAGTCCTGGATATCCCAGCAGGGACTCAAAATATGACTATGTCTGGGGAAGGGAGTGGCACGGCAAGGCTGTGTTTTAGAAAGTACACCCTGCCAGCCAGACATGTGGAAGATAAACTGGGGTATGGGAGCTTTAGTTAGCTGGCTCCTGCTAACCCAGGTGTGACCAACCACCTTCCCAAGGAAAAGCCTTCTGCACTTGGAGACACATCCCATCCACCCTGAATGAGGTGCATTAAGGCCTCTTACAGCCATGACACCACACCAGGTCCTGGACAGCACAGCTCAAATAAACACTGCCTGCTCTCCAAGAGCATCTGGGGCTGGTTGCTTCTTTCCTTCAAACACCTCTCTGAAACTCATTGCTGGAGTTTCCCTACATAGACTCCCTCAGGTTATCTTAACACATATATTCAGGACCATACCTAAGACTAAATTCGAACTAAATAGCAAGAGAAGGGCAATCTATCCACTGGCAACTGACATACAATGGCAAACAGTAGCATGTATACAGTTGTGTATGTGGATTTTGGAGTCAGATACACTTGGGTCCTAATTTTAACCTAAAACAAGCCAACTAACCTCTCACAGTGATGTGGGAGGAATAAAACCGAGTGTGCGAAGAAGGTTCATACAATGCCTGGCACACAGAAAATGCTCAGTAAATGTTACTCTTATGAATATGGAATGATGTGCCTTCTGTAAGAAGGAAAGAGACAAGTGTTGTCTTGGCCCATAAAGAGATCCATTATTTATTTCACATACTGACCACGTATTATGAAAGTCATCAAGCCTTTGGCTTTTCCCCCCCACTTTGGCTTTTTTTTTAATGAGACTCGAGTGGGTGATTGAGAATATGGATAGCAGAAAAAGCACAGGTTTGGGGTCAAATAGATTTGTGTTTAAAGCTTAAAGCTTAGATCTACCTTTTTTTTTAGTCCTGTGACATTAAGCAGGCTGCTAACCTCTCTAGGGCATCTGTAAAACAGGCTAGAATCAATCTTGACGGGTTACTGTGAAGTTTAGAAATACAGTGCCATGGCCGGGCGCGGTGGCTGACGCCTGTAATCCCAGTGCTTTGGGAGGCCGAGGCGGGTGGATTATGAGGTTAGGAGATAGAGACCATCCTGGCTAACACGGTGAAACCCTGACTCTACTAAAAATACAAAAAATGAGCCGGGCGTGTTGGCGGGCACCTGTAATCCCAGCTACTCGGGAGGCTGAGGCAGGAGAATGGCGTGAACCCGGGAGGCGGAGCTTGCAGTGAGCAGAGATCACGCCTCTGCACTCCAGCCTGGGCGACAGAGCAAGACTCCATCTCAAAAAAAAAAAAAAAAGAAATACAGTGTCATATATAAAGTATACTCAATCCATGGAAAGTATTGTTATTATTCATGGTCTTCTCTCAAAATACATTAGAATAAAGAAAGATGACTAGGGTAGCTCTTTGTCTCTGTGTGAGAGTATTTCCCTCCCTTTAAAGCAGGCAAGGGAAACAGCCTATGTAGAGTTTTAAAGATACCAATGTCTTTTCAATGTTCCATTATTTCCAGCTAAAGGAAAATAACTGGGGATTTTCTTAGCACTCCACATTGGTTTAAATAAAATGTGTCTTGGAACTTCCCAAGTTCACTTCACACTCATAGTCAATCCCTATCTCTGTTTCACAGTATTTTTCACTCTCCCTTCATTCATTTTTTTTTCCCAATAAATATTTATGAAGCACCTATGATGAACAGAGCACAGACTTAGGAGCAATGGGGTATATGTGGTGATCACAGTTCAAATGTTATTTTGTATTCATGTGAGGAAATTAAGAAAAGGAGTTGTAATTTGCCAAATGATACTTAGTGGAAAGGGACAGAGGTGGCCATGCCCTGCACAACTCCGAGGAACACCACTCACAGGCTTCAATCTCAGTTAGGGCTGAAACCAATGCTGTTGCCATTTCCACTCCTCCATCATGGAAGCAGCTGAACCGGCCCCATCCAATCCCTCCTGCTTGGTGACTTCCCCGGGGACTTTTATCTGTCCCCTGCACATGGACACCGTAAGGACCATGGGCTGGCTGGTTACATTATCTCGTTATTGTTATACTGGTTCTGGCCTTCCCTAGTGCCTGTTGGGGTGTGTGTGTGCAATTTGCCATAATCACTTATGCAGGAGAAGGAAGGCCAAACACTAAAAAAAAAAAAAAAAAAAAAAAAAAACAAAAAACAAACAAACAAACAAAAACACCCAAAAACTCAAGATGAAGAAACAAGAGAAAAATCGATGATAAGTATCCAACACTGCCTACTTTTACTATGGAATGTGGTCCAATTACCAGGGAATTATTGGCATGCCAGTTAGCCTCTAGGTCACTGTGTCCCTGAATGGAACAATTTGTGAAACATGCTTAACAAGGGCCATCATGCTTGGCTAATTTCTTAATTTTTTGTAGAAACAAGGTCTTGCTATGTTGCCAAGGCTGATCTTGAACTCCTAAGCTCAAGCAATCCTCCTGCTTCAGCCTCCCACATCGCTGGGGATTACAGGTGTGAGCCACATATTTTAAATTCAATAAAAAGTTTTAGGTAAGTCTAGTGTGTGTGCTTAACCTGCTTTTTAAATAACATGATGATGCTGGCTTCAACTGGCCAAACTTAGTTAAATTTAGCAGTTAATAACCATCAAACAGTCTCACACTAATCAAATTCAGATCGAGGAAGACATTTTTTTTCCCCCTGGTTCACAGTATTTTCTATTCATGAGTAGGAAACAGGATGTGATGAAAATGTATCATTTTAGAGTCAGGCCTAAATGCAAATCAAACTACTTGGCTTGGGCCTCAATTTCCTCACACATAATTTGAGGGGTAGAGAGAAGAGGTTTAAAGGTAAATTGTGCCCTCTCCCACCAAATTCATGTTGAAGTGGTCACCCCCAGCACCTTAGAGTATGAAGTTATTTGGAGATAGGGTCTTCATAGAGGTTAAAGTGAGGGCATTAGGGCGGGCTGTAACCCCATATGACTGGTGTCCCTATAAAATGGGGGAATTTGGTCACAGAGATATATAGAGAGGTGAGATTACACAAAGATACAGGAATACTTAATTATGAATGATGTTAAAGGGTCATTGATCAAGTAATGATAAAATAATTTTAATTATGAAGACTATTAGAACATAGAAGATCATATGTATATATACCTAATAACTGAAAGAAAATCAACATGAGTAAAAAGAAATATGCCAAAATGGCAATAGTATTTATGGTAGATTATGAGTGATGTTCCCTGTCTTTTCCAAATCTTAGGTGGTATAGTTTAAAGCATCAATAATGATAAATTAATTTACCTTTAGAAAAAAAGCAACATTGTTATGCTAGTGTCAAAAATGACTTGGGTTTTTGAGACCCTGTCTCAAAAGAAAAAAAAAAGTTTCACTTCAGGAAAGGCCAAATTTAAAAACTGGTCTGGGTGGTTCAGGGAGGGACAGTATAGGTGAATGTAGTGTGAAGTATTTATCAAGAAGGACTGTCCCTGGGCAGGCAGGTGCAGTAGCTCACACTTGTAATCCCAGCAATTTGGGAGGCTGAGGTGGATAGATTGCTTGAGGTCAAGAGTTTGAGGCCAGACTGGCCAACATAGTGAGAGAAGAAAGAAAAAGAGGGGAGGGGAGTGGAGGGAGAAAGAAAGAGAGAGAGAGAGAGAGAGACAGAGAGAAAGAAAGAAAGAAAGAAAGAAAGAAAGAAAGAAAGAAAGAAAGAAAGAAAGAAAGAGAGAGAGAGAGAGAAAGAGAGAGAGAGAGAGAGAGAGAGAGAGAGAGAAAGAAAGAAAGAAAGAAAAAATGAGAGAGAGAGAAAGAGGCTGGGTGCGGTGGCTCATGCCTGTAATCCCAACACTTTGGGAGGCCGAGGCGGGTGGATCATGAGGTCAAGAGATCAAGACAATCCTGGCCAACATGGTGAAACCCCATCTCTACTAAAAATACAAAAATTAGCTGGGCATGGTGGTAGGCACCTGTAACCCCAGCTACTCGGGAGGTTGAGGCAGGAGAATCGCTTGAACCTGGGAGGCAGAGGTTGCAGTGAGCCAAAGACGCACCACTGCACTCCAGCCTGGTGACAAAGCGAGACTCCTTCTCAAAAGAAAAAGGAAAGGAAAGGAAGAGAAAGAAAGATTGTCTCCTTTACTTCAATCCTCCAGTTTTGATGAACTAGATTTTGAGTTCTTTGAGCTGAATCAGAATTGATAGAATCGTATCTTTTAACTTCATAGCTATAGCAACCTGGCATACAGTAGGCAGTTGATACACGTATAATTAAGTGGGTGAATGAATGCACTAATGAATGCAGTTGCTTTGGGTCTTGTAAGAAAACCACTGGCTTTCAGGTCAGACATCTTTACTAGAATGGTTATGTGTATGTACCTCCATGGATCATTTCCCTTTTCTGCTCAAAGACATATAACATTGTCAAGTCCACATTTTATAGACATGCTGGTGAAGCTGACAGAGGAAAGATAGCTTCTGAAACCAACTTTCGAGGGTTTTGAAATCTAAACCCTCACTGTATGGAGAAACCTTATACTTCCTCCATCGATCTCATAGTCCTTCTTCTCTGCAAGTCCCCGGGGCGCTTTTCCAACCCCATATTGCTCTGCGCTGCAGCCAAAGCCCAGTTTCTTGCCTCAAAAGGCCCTTTGTTTGGGCTCTCTTTCCAAATCAGCGTATCCTGAGCTTGAACCCCCTTGCTTTTGAGAACTCTGATGCCTTGGCAGCAGAAGGCTTTGCCAGCAGGTTTGTGGTCCTTAACAGCTTTCAGAAACCTCAATGTGAGGGCATGTCTATAGCTAAGAAACTCTTTTCACGGGAGGGAGGAGAGGGAGTATTATTTTAAGAGTTGCAAAAACAACTTCAGATTGACTCTTTGGTCTTTCATTGCTACCAGAAGACTGAGAACTTCTTGTTCTCTGGTATTTAATTAAGATGATAGTTTTAATCAACTTGAAATGATATTGGTTAATAAGCTCTGCTCAATCTCTCAGGTAGGTTTCATCTCCCAACACTGGAATGCATTAAAGACAAATTTCCAGCATCTTCCTTTCCAACTGGAAAACACATGCTTTAGTAAGCACAAATGGAAAGGTAGCTCCATCTGTGCAGCTGCCATATGATTCTCTGGCAGGACTCCAAGGTAACTTTTCAAAGATCAGATAAACTATGTCTAATCCATACTTTGTACTTACACATTTTATAAACCCAGGTAGCACTCTCTTATGCATTTATTTGTTCCAAAGCTTGCCAATTATTTATGACAGATAACAGTTTCTAAACACTTAAGGGTCAGGGTATATTCATGTCAAAGAGCCCACTGTCTGTGAGGTATTTTTTTCTCTCCGGACACCTGTAAAGTAGAAATCATTGTCTCCATTTTACAGGTGAGGAAACTCAAGTTTACTACAACACTTGATCCAGGTTATAAGCTACCAAGTGATGGGGCCAGGATCGGAACCCAGAACTGTCTGGCCCTAAGACATATCCTCTTTCCACTGTGTTCCAATGTCTCCTAAACTTCAAAACTTTGATTCTGGGTTAAAATTGTGGTAACTCGTGGTGGTGAATCTCTTCATCTTTCCTCCTATTTGTACCTTGTGACAGGGTTAATTCAACACAGTCAAGACCTCCAACTATCAGGCACTGTCCTAGAGTCTTTTATACTTGATGACCTCTGCAGTTCTGAAAGACCATTTAATTCAACTGCCTCATTATTTAGGGAAGAAAATTTAAACCAACAGAGTTCAAGTGACTTGTTTAAGGTCACTAACTAGTGCCAGAGCTGGAATGGCTTGAGATTAGGAGGTGAAATTACCTCAGGTTGGAGTAGTGAGGGGGTAGGGTGAGCAGAAACCAGCTTAAAGAATGGAAACTCTTCGTATAGGCAGAGAAGAAGGAGCGGGTGCGTTAGCAGAGGAAAGAGCATAAACAAAGGCTGGAATACAGATTTCTGTGTGTTGCTTCCAGGAAGCAAGGAGACTAATATGGATAAAGGTAGTTATCAATGAGAATACCTGTGCATTCAAAATAAGGATAGCAGAACCAAAAACTGTGAACAATAGATGCCTCTGGGGAGTGGAATTTAGAGGAACAGTAAGCAAGGGGCTATTCCTTTTAAACATAATCATATGGTTAATTTTTTTTTTAAGAGACTAGGTCTCACTATGTTGCCCAGGCTGGTCTTGAACTCCTGAGCTCAAGTGATCCTCCCACCTCGGCCTCCCAAAATGCTGGGATTACAGGTGTGAGCCACCACCCCCAGCCTTGAATTTTTTTTTTTTTTTTACACTAAGAATATATTACTGTGCTTTGGCATTTTATGTTAAGGTACAAATGACTGTAGATTACTGACACATGGGGCTAATATCTGTTTTGCAAAATAACCAAATCCATTGTGTAAAGGGATGCTTTAAACTATGGTATTTACTGGATTTGAACTTGAACCTGCACAAGGTAAGAGTTTTGTTTTCTCTATATTTTACTCATTTTCCAAGACAGTTAATATCTCTGAGCCTGGTTTTCCCATCTGGAAAATGGGGATGAGGAAGGAAGAACTTTTGATGCTTGTCCCCTTCATCTCCTGTATTCTAAGATTATTCTAAAGGATGGTCACTGGTACTGGGCAGAGCTGAGGCAAAGAAACCATTCTGCTAAAGGGAATTCTTCAGTGCAGTCCCTTCCTTGACAATGGTGCCTAAAAGCATTCTGCTAATTTGCCTGTCCAAACAACCGTGATGTTACCACTTTCAGAAGCCTTCCCCCAGAGCCCCTCAAACATAGTGTTAATAATCCCTTCAACTCGGCTACCTCTATACAGAGTATACATTGTATTTCTAGAACTGCACCTGCCCAACATCTACTCCAGAAGATTCAAGGACTGAAACCTCTCCCCATTCATCATTAGACCTCGACACCCAGCACAGAACCTGGTGCATTAAAGGTGCTCAATGCATATTTGTGGAAATGACTCATCACCATCATTTATTCAGGTGCTTTTAATTATAAAATTGTTCAGGTGCTTTCAATTATAAAATTGATAGATACTATTATTAATGCTACTAATTACCAAAACTGTACCAAACATAGCTGATGCTGGGTTAAAATTATGGGAAGGTTGATTTTATATCAACATAACCTTTTGAACAATTAGAACTGCCTCCATGGAATAAACTCAGCATCACTGAAAGTATGTGCCACTAGATTCAGGGTCTGGTGAGGACTTGCTTTCTATTTCAAAGATGGCCCCTTCTAGCTGTGTTCTCATATGATGGAAGGGCAGAGGGGCTAAAAAGCTCCCTCAGTCCTGTTTTATAAGGGCACTAATCCCATTCACGAGCACTCTGCCCTCATGACCTAATTACCTCTTAAAGCCCCCCCACCTTCCATCACCTTGGTGATTAGGTTTCAGGATATGAATTTTGGCAGAACACAGACATTCAGACCATAGCAGTTAGTAACAAAGTTAAGATGTAAACTCAGATTTCTTGTCTCCCACCTTGCCTATGTTTTCCCTTCAGGGGGTTTTCCTCTCCCCATTCAGAGTCCTTTTTTTTTTTTTTTTTTTTTTTGAGACAGAGTCCTCCTCTGTCGCCCAGGCTGGAGTGCAGTGGCCTGATCTCGGCCCACTGCAAGCTCCGCCTCCAGGGTTCACACCATTCTCCTGCCTCAGCCTCCCGAGTAGCTGGGATTACAGGCGCCTGCCACCATGCCCGGGTAATTTTTTTTTTTTTTTTGTATTTTTAGTAGAGATGGGGTTTCACCATGTTAGCCAGGATGGTCTTGATCTCCTGACCTTGTGATCCGCCCGCCTCAGCCTCCCAAAGTGCTGGGATTACAGGCGTGAGCCACTGCACCCGGCCCAGAGCCCTCTTTAAGGCAAGAGAGGAGGATGAAAAAAGTAATGCCTTCTAAATACAGCCCTAGCTTTTAGGGTAGGTTAGAATTTTTTTTTTTTAATAGAAGCTATCATGGTTAGCACAAATTTTGTTTGTTAAACAAGTTCAAAATACTACATGAATGCAAAACTGAATGTAAAATACCTAGCTGTTCTTAGGTTAGTTACATATTCTCAATTCTCTCAGGTTAGTTAATACTTTATTATTGACCGCTGCAAACTCTAGCAAGTAAAGGGTTTTTCCATTTCATCACACTGACTTACAGGAAGCAGGCCTTAAGCACCCAGTGTTTAGCTTTATAATTATACTTAATAATAATTCAGCTATTTATAGAAAAGATAAACTGTACCAGTGGCTACCTCAGGATTGTGGTATTATAGGCAACAAAATTTTTCTTTTTCTTTTTACTTCTTGTTTATATTTTATAAAATATCTTTATATACTTTTTTTCAATGAAAATTTTTCAGCACCTATTATGTACAAGGAGTTCAAAATCTATTTAGAAGAGATTTCAGAGAGGAGGCAGGCAGGATTTGAAGTGACTATCAAGAGGTAAGTAGCTTCTTTTTTGGCTGAGCACGGTGGCTCACGCCTGTAATCCCAGCACTCTGGGAGGCCAAGGCGGGTGAATCACCTGAGGTCAGGAGTTCAAGACCAGCCTGGGCAACATGGTGAAACCCTGCCCTTACTAAAAATAAAAAAATTAGCCGGGCATGGTAGCACACGCCTGTAATCCCAGCTACTCAGAAGGCTGAGGCAGGAGAATCACTTGAACCTGGGAGGCGGAGGTTGCAGTGAGCCAAGATCGTACCATTGTACTCCAGCCTAAGTGACAAAGCAAGACTCCGTTTCACAAAAAAAAAAAAAAAAAAAAAAAAAAAAAAAGGAAGTAAATAGCACATACCAAGCAAAGAGAAAGAATGGCATGGTAGAAAAGGACCTGGAAAAGCCCCAGAGTGGAGATGTCTGGGAGAAGGGTGTGAAGGGGTTGGGAGAGAGTGGGGTAATGGGGATGAGAAGCAAGAAATTGAAAGGTTTGGTTAGGGTTAGATTCTGAAGAGTCTCAAATATGCTGAGAAATGGATTCTGTAGTCAACAAGGGGTCAGAAAGTCCTGTTCTGAAGAGACAGGCCTATGTGATCGGGATTGTAGTAGTAACAAATGACCCTGTAGACTCACTGCATAAAGAATACACGGGGGAGGAGAGACTATCAACCTAGAAATAAAATCTGTAAAGACATTTTTTCAGATCTGGGTAAATGATAGCATGTGCCTAAAATGCAGTCGAAAAAGGAAGAATGGAGAAAAGAGAGCAAATTCAGACACAACAAAAAAAATATTCATTGTACAAACAAGAGCTTGCAGTTGCAAAATATTTTTCTATACCTGTGGGATACTATACCATTTGGTCTCAAAAGCTCTGTGAGGTAGGCAGGGAACAAATCATCATCCCCATTTTATCATTCACAAAATAGAAAACATTTGCCCAAGGTCACTCAGCTAATACAGCAAAGCTGAGACTGGAGGCAAGAACAGCATCAAGCTATCTCTTAGACTCAATATTTTTAAAATTTCATTTAATTATCAGCTCAGGACACCTGGCCATGTTTTTTCCATCTGTGTGTCCATCTTCTCATCTTGTCACCTTCTTCCTTAGGGCAGGTTCCACCTCTTATATTTCTTAGACTTTCCCTCAGCACTTTGTATTTATCTCCACAAATACTGGGAGAGATAGGCAGTGGACTCACAGGCATGTGCTTATCTGTCATTTTCTGGTAATACAGAAAATGATCAACAGCCCAGGATATACTTTCCCATTGGTCTTGTGGGTGTTTCCTATTCATCCTTGGTCCACAGTGGAGGAAGAGCCCTTGCTATGATTCCTATGGTTTGAGGGGCCTCTTGCCAGCTGCTTTCCTGCTCTGCATTCTAAGTGTGTAGGATCTGTACAAAATGGACCTACTCTAAGTCCTATTTAACTTTTCCATGGGTCTGTGTTTGTCAAAGCTTCATGCCAACTCTGTCAGAAAAAGAAATGCCACAAAACTTCTTTTAGGAAAGGGAGAAAAGACCTACTTTATACACTTGCTTTCATGCTAATCACACCACCATTCAAATCCCAACTGAATAGGGGCCCTACAATAGCCTGGGAAATACACGGAGCGTTTTCCAAAGTGCAGGCTCCTTCACTCAAAATGTTTCATTTCCCTGGCTTTTTAACACCTTTGGAGAAGACTGATAAGAAGAATTAACAATACAATCTGATATTGCTGTCTCTCTGCAGAAAAGATATTCCATTTCTGTAGAAAATTGGCCAAGTATTCTCCTACCATGGCTCCTGACCTTTTCTTCTAAGGCTCTACAGAACTGGAACTGAGATTCTCTCTGATATATTTTCAGTAAAAGTGGATAGATGGCCCAAGTGACCAGCTCAAAGCAGATTCTAGCAGAGCATTTTCCCTGAAATGTTAGTAAATGACCTCTGCTACTGATTAGCTGAATTATTAACAGTGTGTCACCAACCCATCAATGAGGATTGCTATAGACATTGCTGACCAAGTTCTGAGAAAAACAGAATGAACTTCAACCTCCACCTTCATAGTGTTGTTGTGAAATCCAAGTGAGTTAATAACGTATGAAAAGCCCCTAGCTCACTGCCTGCCACATATTAAGTATTCAGTAAAGTTCATGCCTCTCTCTTCCAGTGTAAAGGTTTGGAGTTCACGTCTATCCTCTACGGATTTACAAAGAAACAGGAAATACTGAAATGGACAAAAGACTTTAAACTTCAAGTCAAATCTGAACACTTTACAAGGTGTGATAATTTCATTTTTAAATTTTCTGACTTGCTTGCTTTCTTCATATGCTCATTATTGAAACTAATAGTGAAAATTCAAATTGCAATCTTAATTCTTGGAGGAAAGAGCATAGGTGTTGGTTGGGTCATAGCCTACAAGCTCCACCATTTTCTAGTCCCAAGATCCTGAGCAAGCCCCTCAATCTCTCTGCACAACGACTGTCTCATCTATAAAACCAGTTAGAGGAATACCTCCCCTTCAGGCTTGTATGATTTGATGAGATTCGTGGATGTGTCTGACTATACTGTCAATGCTCAAAAAGGTTAGTTTCCCAGCTTTGTTCCAACTGACATGTGAACAATGATATTTTGCATGTGGTGGTACTGATGTTTTGTTTGCTTTGAGGGGCTAGGTAACTGGAGATCTACAATGAGAAAAATTAATTGAGGCAAGAAAGAATATATAAATTCAAACTCTCAGATGCAAACGTTATCATTTGGTAGAATTGTTCAGTAAAAGGGATTATTAATTAATAATAAATCCTTGGATTTCACAGCTAGGGCAAGCACAGCTGCAACAACAAATTTATGGCAAAATCATAAGTAAAGGTCCCTCAACTCCATTAATAGCCTTAGGAAAATTAAACCTAAAATCAAGACAGCTTATTATTCCCCTCGAATTGAAAGCCCTGTATTTTGAATGCTTTGACTCAAGAAGTATATTTTAATTTCCCAGCCAGTCCCTAGGAATTCTGCTTTCATATAACATCTATAGAGCTGACCTTTCAAAGCAATCAGTCACAAAGGTGAGTGCAGCCCAAAATCCCTCCTGCGGTGTCACTGGAGCTGCTACTCTCCAGACAGATTTAAATGACAAACCCAATAAACAAAAGATTCTCCAGTAAGTTGGTAACAACTTTGGAAATATTTTTAAAATCTCAGCTTGCTGGAAGTTCCTCTCTCTGATCATATGTGTGTGCACTTGCTTCCAAGGAAGACACTGTGCTTCTAATGAAAACATCCATTAAGGCTAAGATGACAGCAAGACAAATGTAACAATGAGAAATAATGGATTAAGCCATTCTTCTCTATAAACCTACTGAGGCCAAATTGACCCAAACAGCTACTTTGGGAGAGTGTCTAATGAAATCTGCTGTGTGGCTGAGACGCATTCTGCCACTTCCTGTCAGTGGTTGCTAACTTTACAACAATGTGGGTCATTTGTGGGGAAGAGGCTACTGGTAGAAGTTCCATGTACTGCATTTAATGAAGGAGCTGCATCCGCAGCCACTAACCAGAGAAGCTCAAAATCTTTCAATGTGACTTAAAGGTTACACCAAACCACAAGGACAGTAGCTCGAGCCTAAGGTACAAAAAGGGTCACAAACAGAGTGACCCATTACCACTGCCTGATGTGAATGATAAAAGGCCTAAAGTCCCTTCTTTTTTTTTTTTAAATGATACAGAGTCTCCCTCTGTTGCCCAGACTGGAGTGCAGTGGCACAGTCTCGGCTCACTGCAACCTCTGCCTCCCAGGCTCAAGCGATTCTCCTGCCTCAGCCTCCCGAGTAGCTGGGATTACAGGCACCCGCAACCGCACCCGGCTAATTTTTGTATTTTTATTAGAGACAGGGTTTCACCATGTTGGCCAGGTTGGTCTCGAACTCCTGACCTCAGGTGATCTGCCCGCCTCAGCCTCCCAAAGTGCTGGGATTACAGGTGTGAGCCACTGCGCCTGGCCTAAAGCCCCTCCTTTCTTTAGAAAGCCTTCTATAGGATCCAGGACCCAGTGGTCTTCCTTACCTCAAAATTTAGAGCTGATGGTCCATTCTAGGGTGTCCAGCCTTTTCAGCAACAAAAATCCCTCATAGTTAATTCTTGCCCCTCTATGACACATCTAGAAGACATCTGTACTTACCAAGTAAACTATATTTCACATCGTTTATTTTTGCTAATCCAAGCACAAAAAGTGTCTCATCTCATCATTAGCAGAAATAAACAAGACCAGAGTGAACTGACAGCAGTCATTCACATCACAAACACAGCATGCTGATACTTTGACTAGTCTAGGCAGAGGCTGATGCTGTGAGTTAGGCTTGACAAGTTAATCACTGGTGAAAGTTCAGTATGCCTAGATATTTCTGAAGTACTGAAAATAGCAGAGGATGCCCCATGATTGACCTAACAGACCTTCACAGGTCCAGAGAACCACTAGTCCAACTCATTTTGGACGACGCTTCAGGGGTTGCCAATGCGAAAGCCAGCATGGAGTAGTGGAGAAAAGCATGGGATTCAGAAACACGTGGAGAATATAGGCAGTAGGGCCTAGTAGTTAAGAATGACCTCACCAGGCAGACGTCTGACCCCACCTCTCAAACTCACTCACTGCACCACCTTTGGTAAGTTATTTTTAACCTCTCTTACCTCCGTTCTGTAAAATGGAGACAATAGTAACAAGTACTTTATAGGCTCATTGGGAGGATTAAATAAGAGAATGTATACACGCTGCTTAACCTGGTGAGAGGTACCTAGCTAGCACTCAATAAATGTCAGCAATCGTCATTATTTAGTCAAGCTTGAGTCCAAATTCCAGCCCCGATACATATCAGCTGTAAGAACTTGGGCAAATCATTTACCCTCTCTGAGCTGCAAAACCAGGTTTGAAACATTTCCCTTATTCTGTTATTAAAAAGGTTAAGTGAGATATCATGTGAAGCACCTAACAATAAATGGGGATCCCTTTTCCTCACCCTTTTGTAATATTTGAGGTTTAATTTTCACATACTTACAACTTGATTTTTTAGTGCATTTATAGATCAACTCATTATTCAGGATTTGTATTTGTGTCTTATATTCTTTAATATTTCTTGGCATCCAGCACATGAGTCTAAAAGATACATGGTAATTTTAGTTCCTAAGATGACAACTACACATACACAGCCATATATCCAGAGGTGGGGAAAAGGGTGAAAAATCAGCCTCATCAGGAACTGAAAATAGATGGGTTTCTATTTCATGCCTTTAAAATATTGTAAAGCAGATCCCAGGGATATATAGGTTTTACTATTTGCATGTTTAACTGTTTTCAAAGTACTCTGAAGATCCATTCTTTGTTCTGCTGAGACAAGAGTCTGTACGTCACAGTCACAGCCTGCTTTGTGGAAGTGCTACTCAGTGGGTGAGCGGGTCTAGCTGACCACCCAGCATCGATTTCCCAGTCAGCTTATTGTTCTCTGCTCACTCATCTTAAACCCAGTGGCACCACTAAACTGATTCAAAACGTGTTTCTTTGTGAAAAATCCCTCTAAAAACAAAGTGACGCTTTAGTGGTTTTATGAATATGTTAATTCCAAATCTTCAGGAAAATTCTGGCATTGTTTCCCTTACATGTCTGCATTAATCTTAAGGTATTTCTTTTTTTTTTTTTTTTTTTTTTGAGATGGAGTCTCGCTCTGTCACCCAGGCTGGAGTGCAGTGGCGCGATCTCGGCTCACTGCAAGCTCTGCCTCCCGGGTTCATGCCATTCTCCTGCCTCAGCCTCCCACGTAGCTGGGACTACAGGTACCCGCCACCACACCTGGCTAATTTTTTGTATTTTTAGTAGAGACGGGGTTTCACTGTGTTAGCCAGGATGGTCTCAATCTCCTGACCTCGTGATCCACCCGCCTCGGCCTCCCAAAGTGCTGGGATTACAGGCGTGAGCCACAGCACCCAGCCCAATCTTAAGGTATTTCTAAAATGATGCAGCCTCAACGGAAAACAGTTTGGCAGTTCCTCAAAAAGGTAAACATGGAGTTACTATATGATCCAGGAATTCCACTCCTAGGTATACAGACCCAAGAGAACTGAAAGCATTTATATGGATATTCATAGCAGCACTATTCATAATGGCCAAAAAGTGGAAATCACCCAAATGTTCATCAAGTGGTGAAGGTAAAAATGAAATGTGTTATGTCTACATAATGGAATATTATTTGACAATAAAAAGAAATGAAGGATACATGCTGCAATATGAATGAACCTTAAAAACCGTACGCCAAGTGGAAGAAGCCAGTCACGAAAGACCACATATTATATGATTATACTTACATGAAATATTCAGAACAGGCAAATCTATGGAGAAAGAAATTGGATTCGTGGTTGCCATGAGATGTGGGAAGGTGGAGGAAAAATGGGGAGTGACTGGTAGTGGGTATCGTTTCTTTTTGCAGTGATGAAATGTTCTAAAATTGGTTGTGGTGATAGTTTACCTAACCGTGAAGATACTAAAAACCAAAAAAAAAGAAAAGATACTAAAAACCAATGAATCGTGTGCTTTAAAGAAATGAATTGCATAGTATGTGAATATCTCAATAAAGCTCTTTGAATAAAATACCATTGCAACCCAGGAAAAACCCTTTCTCTAAGCCAAGAGGATTTATAGCCCACTTATTTTAAGGGGCATTTGAGAAACTTAAAAAGTCCAGAACAAAAGAATATAACTCACAGCCTCGTCTTCATAATAAGGCTATGCACATAAAAAAGCATTTACTAATAGATTTCATAAATCTCCTATAAATCCTGCATTTAAAGTGTTTCTGGAAGGAGTGGCCTCACCATAGTTCAGAGGCTCCCAACCTGGAGTTCAGGAAGTACCTGTCATATCTTTCTTTTTCTTTTCTTTTTGAGACGAGTCTCGCTCTGTCGCCCAGGCTGGAGTGCAGTGGCGTGATCTCGGCTTACTGCAACCTCCGCCTCCCGGGTTCAAGCAATTCTCTGCCTCAGCCTCCCGAGTGGCTGGGACTACAGGTGCCCACCACCATGCCTGGCTAATTTTTTTGTATTTTTAGTAGAGATGGGGTTTCACCATCTTGGCCAGGCTGGTCTTGAACTCCTGACCTTGTGATCCACCCCACTCGGCCTCCCCAAGTGCTGGGATTACAGGCGTGAGCCACCGCGCCCGGCCCTGTCATGTCTTTCTTATCCAGCCCTCTCTGCTCCCACCACAGTACCCTCGGTTCAGCTTGCACTTGCCACCCCACTGGTCTTTAGCTCCTCTGCCTCCCATTTGCCTACCCTCAAATCCAGTCATCTCTCCCAAACCCAAATAAGATTAAATTAATTCCCTCCTCCAATCTTTTCATGAATATGTTCATTCCAAAGGTCTTTTATAAAACTATTGTATTTTTCTTACATACTGTAACTAGCCTTTAGTTTTTTGTTTTTGTTTTTTTGAGATGTAGTCTCACACTGTCACCCGGGCTGGAGTGCAATGGCTCTCTCAGCTCACTGCAACCTCTGCCTCCCAGGTTCAAGTGATTCTCCTGCCTCAGCCTCCTGATTAGCTGGGATTACAGGCGCCTGCCACCACACCTGGCTAATTTTTTGTATTTTTGTTAGAGACGGGGTTTCACTATGTTGGCCAGGCTGGTCTCAAACTCCTGACCTCGTGATCTGCCTGCCTCATCCTCCCAAAGTGCTGGGATTACAGGTGTGAGCCACTGCACCCAGCCGCCTTTAGATATTTCTAAAATGGTGCAGCCACTATGAAAAACAGTTTGGCAGTTCCTCAAAAAGGTAAATGTGGAGTTACCATAGGACCCAGCAATTTCACTCCTAGGTAGTAGGTTTCTCTATGAAATCTTCCAAGATAAAAATAAAAAGAAAAACAAAAAGAAAACTTCATTTGCTCTCCTCGTTCACCAAAATAAAACTCAAATTCCTTAGCTGCCTGCCATACCCAGTCCCCTTTCATAATCTAGCTCTAACCTATCTCTCCAGCCTCATCTCCAATGTCCTCCTTTCTTCCCCCGCACAGTGCAAACACACAATATTGACATTCCAGCCTCCAGCTACTCACTCTTCCCAAATAGGTCCCTGCTTCCAAGTCTCAGCACCTGTGCTTCACTCTGCTGCAATACCTTCTCCCCCTTCCTGGCTTGTGAGCTATTATTTATCTTGCAAGACCCAGCTCCACACCCTCAGGCAAGCTTCATCACTCTTCACTGTGCTGCTAGAGTAGGCCCTCCCTTAAGGCTCCAAAGTCATCACTTATATAGTGTTTGTCATTAGGCAAAAGCCTGTTCCACTTTCACCAGCCTGGGAATTCCTTAAGGCCATGGAAACCCTGGGGCCTGGCATATAGTAGGTGCTCAAGAATCATCTGCAGAAGACAAGGCTTATACCTGAAAGACAGGTACAAACATAGGCTTAATAGGCTCTCTAGAAATTATACTGATTGATACCACAAACTAATTTGGGGGCCAGATATAAAGAAACCATCAATGAGAATGGTTTCCTTCGTGTCAATGTAATAGTGTATTATGTGTTTTAGGGATACATAAACAGGAACCAAAGCACACTACTTATTATGACAAGGCGCTTATAATGATTTGCATTTCTCTGCAAAACTCTTTAGGCATATAATTTTGTTAATTTGTGACAAACCTCAAAAACACACTTACCACCAATACCTTGATTGCAATATATACTTTCAAATCACACAGAAATCAAGTTCCTTTCAAAGGTTTCCAAAAGAGTCTGAAGTGCGTTGTTTTGTTTGGTTTGTTTTAAATTTGGGAATTTAAATGCAGATCATAATTTATAATTTAACCCAGACTTAAGGGAAGAATAATTTCACAAGGATGTTCAAGAACCTGACCTAGCCTTCTTTTGAATGTTGGCACTGACAATGCGTGACCTTGAGAAGTCTGTTTAATCTGAGACTGTTTCATCCTCAGTCACATGGGAATAAGGAGAGTTTGTTGAGAGGCTTTTAAAAAGCAAAAATAAATAAATAAATAATAAAAAGCAAAAACTTTGAAAACATGGAGTCTCTTTTTTCTCCCCTGAGATACATCATTTGAAAAAGGTGGCACCTGTTCCAGCTCAAATCATTCAGCAGTGATCTTGGTAATAAGTACTTTCCTGAAAAAATACCAGTTTGAAGAAAAGTAATATTTCAAAACACTGCCTAGTCCTTCACATTTGTCCCATGTATCTTTGGCTTCACTCAGCTAACATCCACTGATATGGATTAAAAGTTAAACCTGTTTGTCTTGTTCCTTTTTCTACTGACGCACGCAAGAGAGAAAGCTCTCCAGGGAACTCTCCTCATGAATAATATCAAATTTCAAACCAACAAGTCCACATCCGAAAAGCAGAATGGTAGAAAGGCAAGACCTTGGTTCTAGGTCCTCCTCTTTCACTGTCACTGGACAATTACTAACCAACCAAGACCTCTAGTTCCCATTTGTGAACCAAGGGCATTGACTAGGATGTGGTGATGATAATGACTGCAGCAACTACCTCTTGAGTGTCTCTATGCACCAGGCACTGTACTAGGCATGTCCCCACCACGTCACAGTGCACACAGAATCTCATTTCGTAAATGAGGATTTATGAGGCATCACAGAGATCAAGTAAACTTGCTTAAGCTTCTATGGCCAATAATAGTGAGCAGACTCCAGTCTGACTCCAAAGCCCGTGCTATTCCCCTCACACCTCTCTCCCTTCCCCAGCTCAAAAAGGCCTATTTTTCTAACTGACATTAAAAAATGACCTTGGTATCGTTGATAATGAAATCTCCAAGGTACTTCCAAATTCTAAAGATTCCATGAATCTAGGCAATGAGGAATTGCTCCAATGGTATTCTCTTTATTATGTCTACAGAGAAGCTTATTCATCAAGCTTTAAGCTGTTTTGCAATTATTTACATATTACTCTGTCTACTCCACTGCCCAATAATATCCTTAAGACCAAAATAAACAAAATGGAAAGAAATGAAAAAGACTGCTTTGATTGCATTAATTGCAATCAATTAATTGCAAATTGAAAAGTGGGGCAGCAAGGTAACCTGACAAGAGCTCTGGAAAAGTTGGTGACTGCTTTCTAGCTGGGTGCCCTTGTGCAAGTTACTTAACATCTCTGAGCTACAGTTCCCTCTTCTATAAAAGGGATCGTCTCTATACCACATGATTGGCCTGTATAATAAATATGGTAGCCTAGCTCAGTACCTTCCTTCCTCAGCAAATACAGAGGGTCCCCTAGATGACCAGCGTTTCGATCATTTCCAATCATTTCTGGTTTTTTTTTTTTTTTTTTTTTTTTGAGACAGAGTCTCGCTCTATCACCCAGCCTGGAGTGCAGTGGCGTGATCTTGGCTCACTGCAGCCTCTGCCAACTGGGTTCCAGCAATTCTCCTGCCTCAGCCTCCGGAGTAGCTGGGATTACAGGCACACACCACGATGCCCGGCTAATTTTTGTATTTTTAGTAGAGACGGGGTTTCACCATGTTGACCAGGCTAGTCTCGAAATTCTGACCTCAGGTGATCCACCTGCCTCAGCCTCCCAAAGTGCTAGGATTACAGGCGTGAGCCACCACGCCTGGCCTTGCTGTTCTTTTAGTTTGGTTTTCCTCTGGGCTGTTGAATGACAGGAATGACCCAAGTGAGAGTTGACCCTAAAACAGACCACGTGTCTAAATTCTCTCCCACCCTTCCTAAGGCATATCTGTCTTTCTCTCAAGATAATATGGCTTTGTCCCTTTCAAAGGGGAAGAATGCAACCACCAAAGCCTATTGAGGTTCCTGCACTTTGACTTTCCCAGAAAGGGTCAGGAAACCTGCCACTGCTTTTCTTCAGCTAATGGAAAACATTTGTGTCCACTCTGCTTGGTGTTTTCTTGGGATTCTTCTCAGAATCTTTTTCCTTAATATAGTTCAGGCAACTTTGCTGCCAAGAAATAAGAGGATTTTATAGAACCATTGAGGAGTAAGAAAACTGGGAGGAAAATGAAAATTCGACTCTATGAAGAACAACAGCAACTTCATTCCTACCTGATAATGATAACGTGATTTTGAACTTTTCAAAATGCTTTCAGTTTCATTATCTCACCTGGGTTTCACAACAAACAAGTATTACCAGGTTTGCTTATTTTACAGATGAGGAAACTGAAGCCTGGAGGAGGTTAAATAATTTTTGCCCAAAATTACATGCTGGCAAAAGGTGGCTGTTTGCTTTATGTCAGGATTCAAACACAGATTTGGGGAAATCCAAAGCTTGTATTGTTTCTACACTACTTTGCCAAGCTTATTTTATCTTCTAAAGGCTCTATTTAGGAATCTAATTTATTCCTGCTTCACCTTGCACTCATGCACAAACTTCAATATCTCAAAAGAAAATATTTAAAATTAACACCTCATTTATCCAAAGAGTCACATGGCTGGCAACTTCAATTACATAGAGTTCGGTTTACAACCAGAAAATACATAAAGATTTTAGCCTCTTGGCATTAGAAACAACACCAAGTCTTTGCACTGAAAGACACAGGACACCTTCAGGTCTGCATCCAGGGGTAATTTTCCATTCGGAAGAATTCTTGCAAACTTGATTATCTTTACTGAAAAAGACAGGTGCACTGGTCACAAACAAACAAACAAAAAAAGTACAGACAACCTAACAATGCAGAAAATGCCAGAACATTCAGTGCAGGGACAAAAAGCCCACTACATAATTAAATTGCCCTTAAGATATCAGCTGTTAAACAACATAGTGATTCTAAAATTGGCCTGATAAGAATCACCGGCAGCGTTTATAAAACACAGAATCCCAGGTCCTGGCTCAAAGCCAGCTGAATCTGAATATCCTGGAGAAGAGTCCGAGAATCTGTATTTCATACCAGATAGGCCCCATGTTAGGTGAGTTTATGAAATACTGGTGTAATAGGCAACCCCAAAACAAAGTATTACTCCTCACATAACGTGTACTGGATTGAACTGACACACAGGACAGGGTTTCTCCATAAATATAACTGCCTACACAGGGAAGAAGCCCTTGACTATGGTCTCATTAGCATCACGCTGTGACCAACTGGGCTTTCTAGCCCAAACAACTGCACAAGAAAGGGTAAAGGAAGAATCTAAAATTGACAGGTAATCAAAAGGGTTAAAAGCAGAAAAGGGGCCTGGCACGGTGGCTCACACCTGTAATCCCAGCACTTTGGGAGGCTGAAGCGGGCAGATCACAAAGTCAGGAGATCGAGACCATCTTGGCTAACATGGTGAAACCCTGTCTCTACTAAAATACAAAAAATTAGCTAAGCATGGTGGCACGTGCCTGTAGTCCCAGCTACTCAGGAGGCTGAGGCAGGAGAATCGCTTGAATCCGGGAGGCAGAGGTTGCAGCGAGCCAAGATCACGCCATTGCACTCTAGCCTGGGTGACAGAGAAGACTCTGTCTCAAAAAAAAAAAAAAACCCTAACCATTATGGACAGTGAATAAAAGCTTTTAACCATACTAGAAAAGTCAACAGGGCTTACCTACTAAATGATCCTAGGCTGGAGTGCAGTGACACAATCATGGCTCACTGCAGCCTCCAACTCCTAGTCTCAAGGTATCCTCCTGCCTCAGCCTCCCAAGAAGCTGGGCTACAGCTACAGGCTTGCACCACCACGCCCGGTTAATTTTTGATTTTTTTGTAGAGACAAGGTCTCACTATATTGCCCAAGCTGATCTCGAACTCCTTAGCTCAAGTAATCCTCCTGCCTCTGCCTCCCAAAGTGCTGGGATTACAGGAGTAAGCCACTGCACCCAACGAGGCTCTTTTCTTTATTTTAATCTACGAAGGATGGTTGGCTAGGCAATTTACCGGTTGATTAATGAAAATATGTAAATTTCAGGAAGCAGGTGAAAGGACACATCCGGCGTAGGAAAAATCTAGTCAGTTTCTCAACGTATTGCCTTAACCTTAATAAAAGCAGTGCTTACCTCCCCTCCAGAATTAACACCAACTTAAGCTAATTTTCAACATTAATTCTTTGGTCATACATATATAACAATTCAATTAATGACAAATGGTCTAAGAGGGGCAGTGGGTATGTTACTACATCACAATATTTACCAGCCTAGACTTATAAAATTGTTACAGCTAGAAGGACACTGAAAGATGGTCTAGTTCCTTCCCTTTTTCGCAATGGTAAAGAAACTGAGACTCAGAAAATTTAAATGAATTTTTCCAAAGCTGTACAGTGCAGTGGCAGTACAAGACTATAATGACTGTCTCTAGTTTGTGATGATTCACAGAGCTAATATATAATGAAGAGCTCAGCAGAGTAGATGCATAGGGTAGACATTCAGCATATGTCAAGTCTCTAACGTCAAGCCTCTACTAGAAATCGGTCACCGCATGTTTAATGGCAATAATAGACATAATCCCACACAGTCATTTTGCAGGTGGAAAAAAACTGAGACACACAGAAAACCGACTCATCCACACAATGCAACTCGATAGTGGCACTGGCCAACGTGGAACCTGAAGCTTCTGACTCTAAGTGTCTTTTTTGCACTATACCATGCTGCCCCTCTCTCACTATTTAAAGTAAATAATAATAAATGATGACTCTATGTATCCCATATATAGAACCAGTTCTAGAATTTTAGCTCAACCATTTAGTTGGAAATCAAAAAACATCCAAAAACGTGGTGGAGCAACCAAATTAAATAGCACGGTTGCTGACCACCCAAATTCCGTATTACTGACTGGAAGACTGGGACCAACTTTATTTTTCTGCTTTGGTGCAAATGGGTAACTGGGAAATCGGGAGAGGCAGAACTTTCTGCAAACCGAGCTTCAGAATTTTCTGATAAGAACCTGAATTTCAAGATTCTTCAGGTGGGGAAAGGATTCCACTCATGCTAAACTGAGAACTGGGGATCAATTCAAATCGACTTCAGTGTTAGTCTATCCTTCCCTTTTCTGAGACATGGTTTCTGGTTTATAAAATGGAGATAATTTATTCATAGGGGTTGCATTAAAGCATGCATATATGAATTTATATAAAAAAGAGACTAACAGAGCTTAGAAAGACAATAACTGTTCCTCCCTTCTTACCTGGGAATCGTCTGTTGCTCTCCTGTAACCCCATACACCACAATCAATGTACAAAAACCAGGAGGTGATAAATATTACTTAATTAAAAGGAAAACAAAATCAATTTCAGGAAAACTATCACGCAAAGATTCATAACTGTATTTAAAAGCAATTAATCGGTAAAGATAGCTGTCCAATGAAAGGTAAACTCCCACTGGTGTTATTTGACACCAGATTGTCTTGGCTTTCAAACAAGAGTAGACTTCTGCTTTTTCACCAAGAATTTAACGTTCTAAAAAGGTATGTGAAACAAGTTAAACTACTTGCATATTTCCACTTACATAACACTGACATAGCACATCAGCTTTTATTTTTTCCAGATACTAGATGAAGTTTCTTATATATTCCTGTGAGAGAATAAACAGAAAACTGTCTCTCTTCTTAATATATTAGTGCCCTGTAATCCAGACCATATGATCAATAAACTATATAAAAATTAAATTATACTGACGGTCTTAGGCAAAAAGTGGAAACAATTTTTTTTAGGACTGTGGTGTGCGGAATATTAAAATCACATGTTGTGCTATTAATTTTTCTTTTGGAAGCCAAATAGAGTTCTCCTGCATAAATATCTCACCTAAATATTTCTCTTACAAAGAATTTTTCCTGTTAAAGGTGTTTGAGAGACATTTAATTAGTGATATTGTAATTGGCCTGTGCTCAGGGGAAACATTGATCAATAAGTCACTTTGAAAATGTTGCCATGGTTTTAATGGCAAAGCACCCCTGAAAACAAGTAGCTATGTGCCTCTATAACAGAATACATGGTCCTGACGCCTTATTGCTTTTTGGAGATAAACAAAATCATTTTGTTCAAACATAAGACCAACAGTGAATAAATATAATAAACAGGTTAGAATATTAGCTTTGGGGGGACGGGGGATAGTGGGGAAATGAAGAACTGAAACATGCATATGCACACACATGCATGCATGCACACACACCTTTTTTACACCTTCAATGTACAACAGAGTAGCTTGGGTTTTTACATCCCTGGCTAAACTACAGCTGATGGTTGTGTCTTTTTGCAAATTCCTTTACATCTCTTTCCTTTTCACTTTCATAAGACACCATCTCTTGGGACTGCCTTCTAAAATCACAAGGGTGGAAAGGAAATTGTACAAAGGCTGTCAAGCATGTTCTAGCTCTGCTTTCTTAATCACAAAGTAGGAGGTAGGAGGGTATCCTGCACAGGCACTCTAGAAAGAGCTTACCCTGCCACCAACAAAACACACTGAGTAAACACAGGGAGTTCCAGGCAAGTTTACAGCAAACAGCTTCCATGTGTTTAGTGCTTCCTTGTACTCCCCTGGGACCAGAGAGGGTCTTTTAAAAATTCAACAGCTTGATTACAAGACTTTAAGTAGTAATCTGTCCCACTGTGCATGATAATGAGCCAGCTGCCTTCAGGAAGGTAGGCCCCCCAGTGACAATTCCTTTACATAGCATCTTAATGTTGAATTAATGTTGAGAGACGTGGAAATGGGATGTGCCACCTGAACTACAGTGACTTTTCTTCCTTTCCACCCCTCCACCCTTCCACAGAGCACAATTATACCTTCAGCTGTCTCTTCTTACCTGAAGGGGGCCGTTCTTATTTTTAAACTCTAAGAATCCTATCTTTCTTTACTATGGACCATCAAGAGGACACTGCACAGTAAGAGCAGTGCTACAGAAAGAGTCATGAATACCAGAGAGGTATAACTCCAGCCTAAGAAGTCTCTGGTCTGCAAAATCTGCATGGACAAATCCATTTCAAAGGGGACTTAAGTCTGTGCAGGAGCTGTATTTTAAGGGAACTGAATTGGGAACACAGATGTTTCTTCAGTTAGCAGAGTTGGCAGAACAGCTTCTGGACCAAATCCGAGTTCCTAATGCGGGAAGGGGCCTTGGAGAGCATCTACTTCAACCCACTCATTCAACTGCTGAGGAAACTGAGGCCCATGAGGCAGTTAAGTGGCACACCCAGCAAGTGGCAAGAGTGGCAGTGTTCTGATGACAAGTACTGTGCGTTTTCCATTACACCATGATTCGCTTTAAAAAAAAAAAAATCCTAGGCTGACTTCAACCTTGGAAGTCCTGTTCATTCTTGTGAAGCGCTTTCTCCCTCCCCTACCGAGTTCATAAATCCTCCTCGCCCTCCCACTCCAATTCCTTTAACTCCCACCGCTCTTCCAGCTGTGGCTTCCAACGACTTTGGAAAACAGAAGTGGACCATCGCCTCAACTTTCTGGGGGCGCAATTAAATTTGTGGTCCCCAAACAAGATCGCAGCTGGCTTTCCCAGTGCCTCAATGTGCCCATCAGGGAAATGGGGCTCATCACCCCTGCTGCACCGAGTCAGAGAGTGGGCGAGCTAAAACTGATGCCCCTGAAGCCGCCTACCACCTGGCACACAGTAGGCACTCAAGTGATTGCTGAAGCCGTGCCCAGCACCAAGCCCGGGGAAAGCACCTACAGGAGAGGAGCAAGTGAAAAGGCCGGCTAGCCAGTCTGGCGAGCCTGGGCAGCAAAGGCGGAAGGGCTGGATGTTTACATACAGCCGCCGGGAAGGCAGCTCGGCTCCAGGCAGGAGCCCGACTCTCGGGGCGATCCATTTCACTCGGATGGAGGGCGACCAGCTAGCTATACGCTGGCTCTAGAGCGCGGCTCAACCAACTTCCCCTACGCTAAAAGGACGAACCCACACCTTCCGCGGGATTCCGCCCGGGCTTCCAACGTGGAGACGACTTTTACTGAGCTGGTTTAACAGTTGCCCACGAACGCTTAAGCACGCCCAGACCCACTCAAGTACAGGCCAAGAAGTCGGTGGGATCGGGGAGGGCGGGGGCTTCGGGCCTGGGCGGCGCAAAGGCTCCCCAGGAAGGCTGCGGGGGCCCCCCGGAGCTGACGGCGCGGCGCGGCGCGGCGCTGCGCGGCCCCGGACTGGGCTGGGACGCGCGCCGAGGGACGAGGGGCCGAGGGGCCGAGGGACAGCGGGGCTGGGCTCACCCATGAAGAGGCAGAAGAGGTCGAGGCAGATGAGCAGCACCCGCTTGCTGCCGCTCCTCCTCGGGTTGTTGTTGAGCGCCGGGCTGCCGCCGTTCTTGCTCTCCGGGACGATCGCTTTGTCGTACTTGTAGTTTTGCATGGCGCTGGCTGCGGCGCGAGCCTCCCGCCCCGCGAAGACGTCCCGCAACAGCAGCCACACACCCAGGCGCCCGGGTCGCCTCCTGGCCGAGGCTGCTGCGGATAGTGGCGGGTCGGCCCCGGCTCCGGGCGCGGCGGCTAGAGTGCAGCCGGGGCTGCCTGCCTCCAACTGCAGAAGGTGGTGTTTTCTGCTCCTCCTGCGCGCCTCTGCTTTCCTCTGTCAACCCTAAATCGTTCTAAAGTCCAAGGGGAAGAGAGCCAGATCCCGAGCAGAAACTTTTGCAGAGCTGCGCAGCTTGGGGCGCGCTGTTGTGGCGCGCGTCTGAGTGCGCGAGCGAGCGAGTGGGCAGCGCGGGCGCTCGGCCACCTTCCTCCGCAGCTGGTTCCTTAATGAATGGGAGCTGCGCTGAGCCCAGCAACTCCGGAGCGCCAGCCCCAACTCTAACTTTGCCTCCTCCTCCTCCTCCTCCTCCGGCTCCTCCTGCTCCTCCTGCTGTTGGTGCTGCTGCCGCGGCGGCTGCTGCTGTGATCGCCTGGGTTTGTTTTCTGCACTTTTATTTCACGAGGTCCTTTAAAAAGAGAAGACGTGGGGGGAGAGAGAGAGAGGGACCTCCTTACTTGGCTCGGATGGGATTCCGAAAGCACAGCCCCTTCCTTAAGCTGCCTAAGACGTAGGATAATTAAGGCCACATTTTCCCCCACCCCCTTCAAAAAAAAAAAAAAAAGTCCTAAAAGGAAAAGTTACTCTCAAACCAGAGAAACCGGGAGCCCCTAGCGTTCAGAAACACCAAATTGTCACCAAAGAAAAAATATATATAAATAAAAAGAAACATTTTCTTGCTGGCCTTGGGTCAAGTAAAAGTTAGGGCTGTACAGCTAAAATGCATTTTTCCTCACCTACAAACCTGAGGCTTTCAGGTCTTTATTGTGACTTGAATTGTATTACCCTGAAAATATAATTTTTAAGGAAAACAAGTTGTTTGTTTGTTTAAGATCTTAACATCCAACACCGGGTACTACGCTAGATTTTGAGAATACTAAAATGAAAAAGACTGCACGACTGTGGAACCACATCTCCTGGATTTCAATCCTGTGACTCTGTGCCTCAGTTTCCCCGTATGTAACTAGAGATAACTGTTCCTTTTCATATAGGGTGGTTGTGAAGACTTAATTTGTTAATCCGTATAAGCTCCTAGAACAGTGCCCAGTACATAGGAAGTGCTCTGTGAGGGTTAGCAATTACCTTTTTTCTGGGTGAAGGAGTCTCAGGCAACCCCTCTCTTGGCCCCAAGAGTAATTCTACTACTATGGGGAATTCCAGGGCAGCCAAAATGCTCTCTGCTTGAGTTTCAGACAATCTAACATTTTTCCTTAGAGGCTGGCATCTTATTTTTAATTATTTTATGTGAGTTAATCTTTTTTCCAGATAGAGAATAAACATTTCCAGGGCAAGGGCCTTCCCTTGTATCTTCTATAGTGCCTAGCATGGACCTGGGCACAGTGGACAATAAATGGATGTTTTTTCCAGGTGGTTCTTTGTGTGCATTCAGAAATGGAAATATTTGTAGCTTTTTGATACATTATATGAATCATGTTCTTTCTTACACTGACTTGTTTTGGGTTTTGATAACTTTATATGCAGCCACCATCAACCCTTTCTGGTACAATTGCCCTTTCTGGTACAATCCTTTCACACTCCACACCCCTGCTCTCCTGCACGCTCTGCCTATAATGCATACCCTTTCCTCCTCTAGTTAGGGAAATGCTTCTCTTGCTTTAGTATCCTCTGAAATGTCACCTCCTCTCTGAGTACTTTCTTCATTCCTGCACAGAATTAACTTCACTGTCAACTCTTTGCTTCTAACTATTTTTTTTTCCCCCGAGATGGCGTCTCACTCTATCGCCCAGGCTGGAGTGCAGTGCCTCAATCTTGGCTCACTGCAATCTCCGCCTCCCGGATTCAAAGGATTCTCTTGCCTCAGCCTCCTGAGTAGCTGAGATTACAGGCTCGTGCCACCACACACGGCTATTTTTGTATTTTTAGTAGAGATGGGGCTTCACCATGTTGGTCAGGCTGGTCTCAAATTCCTGACGTCATGATCGCCTGCCTCGGCCTCCCAAAGTGCTAGGATTACAGGCATGAGCCTATGTCAGCCTGATTTGGTGTTACAGATGGTAAAGACTAGCAAACTGTGTAGGTTATCAGCGCCGCGGCATCTCTCTAGTACCTAGCACGGGATTTGCTGTGTACTGAATTAAGCTCAAGTTAGCACCGGTTAGTAAGTGGGGCTTGCAAAGAAAGACAACATTGCTATCTTCTGGAAGCAAGAAGATCTGACTCTCCCAAGAAGTTTTGGAGCTGAAGCATCCAACTGCAAATCACACACAGCACTCTCAATTCAAATAGCACAGGTAAAAGCCAGGGTAGTTCAGAAGGCAGATGCTTGAGATAGCTTTTTCTTGAGAAACACCTTCTCTTGAAAAGTTAAAAGAGTGGAAACAAAACAAGGCCAGGTTCATAATTACTGACATTCTAAGAGGAATTCAGGATTCCAGGGTCTTTGCCTACTCAATTGTCTTTGTAATTATAGTCATCTTTGAAATTCTTAGTCACCAAACCATGCTTTTGGAATTCCAATCTAAAAGCAAGCTTTCTTGAAACTGCAGGCCTCTCTGATCTTTCCCTCCTTGGAGCTCTAAAAGACCTTGAGTAGATACTCAAGGTCTTATTCCACTGGACACGGCCCTATCTGATTACTTCACTTTGCAAATCATGAAATTACTTGCAAAGTGAAATAATAAGACAGGGTCATGTGCAGTGGAATATAGTGGCTTGTCTTACTTGCAAGTGGTCATAATTTGTCCCTCAAACATTGTTAGCTCCATGAGGCGAGAGCCTTGACCTTAATACCACAATCAATAATGGTGAAATCCTAAGTCAAAGAAAGAAATAGTAACTACATGAATTTTATAGGTACCTCCCTGTATGTTTCCTGTCTGCTTTTCCTTATCTGTGAAATGACTTTTATTAATTTAAGAATACACATATTTTTAAAAGTCAGACTGGCTGGGCGCAGTGGCTCACGCCTATAATCGTAGCTCTTTGGGAGGCCAAGACAGGCAGATGGCTTGAGGCCAGGACTCCAAGATCAGCCTGGCCAACATGGTGAAACCCCATCTCTACTAAAAATACTGGTGTGGTGGTACAGACCCATAGTCCCAGCTACTCCCTGAGGCTGAGACACGAGAATTGCTTGAACTGGGCAGGTGGATGTTGCAGTGAGCCCAGATCATGCCACTGCACTCCAGTCTGAGCAACAGAGGGAGACTCTGTCTCAAAAAGCCTGTTATTCCAAAAGCAGATAAAAGGGATAATAAATGGATGTTTAAATAAGACTTTTATATTTCCATTTATAAGGCTCTGTGGGCTATTTTTCCATAACTAAAAGATCATAGTGTTAATTGATGTATGTAGTTCTATGCAAACAGGTATTATATTTGGGTAACTCTTCAAAGGACCGCTACAAATACTTGTTATTATAAAACTGATTTGAACAAGTAATAAAATATAGTGTCAACATATTTCTTTAGATAATGGGAAATAAAGCAGCTAACCAGACATATAAACTTGAAGGCCTCTTTGCCTTAAACCCTAAAGTTGAATAATCTTACCAGCAAATAAATTGCAATAAAACAGACTTGATAATTTAGAATGGTGTCATTTCAAGGTAATTAAGTAATTAGAATTTCTGGCAAACAAACTTACCAAAATTCACACATCAAAATGACATCCAGTTCATTAAATTGGTCTGTATAAAAACTATAATATCAGCAGGGATAAATGCCTTTTTAAGATTGACTTATTGTGTGTGACAACAACAGCACATCATTCTTACATAACTGATACCTCCCAACATTTAAATGGCCTTCATTTCTAAGATCTCTCGTTACCTCATAATTTTCTTTCTCTCTCTTTTTGACTCCCAATATTTAATAATTAATTATTTTTAGTTTTGAAAAGGTATGAATTGGCTCTAGAAATATTGAAGAGGAAAGTAGCTGAGTCCCTTTTATATAAAATTGTATGGTCAAAAAGTAAGAGCCTAAGTTTCTTAAGCCATTGAAGTTAACTTAAGAAGACATAGACATTTTGACTAAGAAGAGTCTGTTTATCCAGATTCTTCCAAACTGTTATATTCATATTCCACCTCTGGTTTTTACTAAACAAAAATTGCTAGCTTGCTGCTATAAGTGTTGGATTTGATATCACGAGTGCTTCCAGAGGACTGAATGGAAACATCTACCGTAATACTCCTGAGAAAAGGCAGGAAGGGGCAGGGGATTAGCAGAAGGGTTTCTGCTGTTTGACCTGAGGCAAGCTGAATAACCTCCCTGAACCTCAGTTTCCTCAACTTTTAAATGGGGCTGACATTTTCTGTAGTTGTGAGGAGGGTTTAAAAGTATAAAATGAAATAATACATTTGAAAATGCTTGGTACACAATAGGCAATCAATAAATATTAGTTGAATGTTAATTTTGTTTTTTCTTTGAGATAGAGTCTTGCTCTGCCACCCGGGCTGGAGTGCAGTGGCGCGATCTCAGCTCACTGCAGCCCTCCTGAGTTCAAGCGATTCTCGTGCCACAGCTGGGATTACAGGCATGGCCACCAAGCCTGGCTAATTTTTGTATTTTTAGTACAGACGGGGTTTCACCATGTTGGCCAGGCTAGTCTTGAACTCCTGTCCTCAAATGGTCCGCCCACCTTGGCCTCCCAAAGTGCTGGGATTATAGGCGTGAACCACTGCGTCTGGCAAGTTGAATGTTAATATTTTCAATGAACACTTTATTTCTACAAAATACCTCATTTAAATACAGCTATTTAAAAAGCATTTATCAAGTACCACCTTGAATATAACCATTTAATTGTAGTCATCCTTCCCTGAATAAAATAACATCTTCAGCCTCTCAACTCCTGTCTTTTTAAAATATGCAATTTCTTGAGGTTTCAGAAAGTATTAATTCAAAATACTTATTTTCTTGAACGATTTACTTATATGTTGTTTTCTTCAGGATTGTTTGTGAAATCTAAGAAAAGCCATTTGCTTAAGCTAATAATCTTGTGAGAGTACAAGTGAAAGTACTTTCATTTTAAAAGCACTTTCACATCTATTATCTTATTTTTATCTTTACAACTCACTGAAGTAGGTGGAGTTGCTATCATTAGTCCCATTTTACAGATGAGAAAACTGAGGCAAGCTCACTTAACTGGATAGAACTGGTTTTCCCCATAGGTAAAATGAAAATGATTCTAACATTAGCTCATGCAGGGTGAAGTGTATAATGCTTTACAGTTTATAATATTTATAATACAGTTATACCCCTTACAGTTTATAATGCTATTTACATTCACTGATCTTGTTTCCGAATAGGTAAGGCAGAGATTATTATCCTTGTTTTAGAATAAGGAAATTGAATCTTGGAAAGATAGGAGATTTGATTAAAGTTGGTGGTGAGGAGATTCCTGAAGAGCCACTGGAATCCAGGTCTCTTAATTTCTAAACTAAGGTTTTTTTCTTTACCCCACAAGGTCTCACACTCAAAGGTGCTCAGAAATTTCTGCTGTTCAACAGTGAATTCACAGAGTAACTTAGAGGGACTGAAGAATTAGCTTCATGTCTTTAGTAAAGAGACAGAGGGGAAGTTGTATTTTGTTTGTAATTTCTTACAGGCTTGGAAGGGAACAACATTGTTGCACCTTGTGTCTCTGAAACACATTTGGCTTCATAATTTGTCAAGCAGTTTTTTTGTTACAAAAAGGGAGCTTTAAGAACACAAAATCGTAGTGGTACTGGAAAGCAGTCTTGGATTCATGTCAACATTTTTACCCTTTTACAAGTAGTAATCTTTTCTTAGCTAGAAATTAGAGCAGTTAAGAGCTAATCTTATGGTAATTCAAACAGTTAATGTTGTTCATTAAAAAAAAAATTAGAACGGATGGAGGAACTTGCAAATAAAGATGCTTCAGAGAATTTCCAAAACTGGTCAACTAGAGCTTGGCTGATAACTTAAAAGGAGAGTGATGCTGCCATCTTGTGTCATTATAGGAAAGTGCCATGGCTCCCAAAGTGAAAATGGCAGTAATTGGGGGATGGGGAATGATTGAAATGGGAATTAAGAACTTTTATAGCAAACATAAAATAATAGCCAACAGCGATTCGATTTTGACTATCCTAATATTGGTTATTCATTCAATAGAAATTTATTGAGCATCTGCTATGTACCAAACACTCTTCTATAAGCTAGGGATATGGCAATGAATAAAACAAAAATTCCTGTCCTCATTGAACCTTTAGGCTTTAATTATTCGATACGTGTTAACTCCTTTAATATTCCAAGCATCCCTGTAAGGAAGGTTTTTTCATTTTACAGATGAGGCTACTGGGGCACAGGAAAGTTAAGTAACTTTAACTGCCAGGTGATAGAGCCTGGATTTGAACCCAGGCAGTCTGAGATAGGAGCCATCAAGTCTTTATTACTATTACTTTTAAATGATTATTTTTCTGGTGAATATTTAGAATTAGCCAGCTGGACTCAGCTTAGATGATCCCAGTTTTGTTGGCCACATCCGAAACGTAAATCAGGAGGCAATTGAACATATGTGTTCTCTCCACCAGGCCTGATCAGGGTGTTGACCTTGGCCACATCAGGGTCATAGAGCTCCTTCATAGCCTGTTTGATCTGGTGCTTGTTTGTTGGCCTTGATATCCACAATGAACCCAAGTGTATAATTGTTTCCTTTTTCGTTTTTGCACATTACTTCCTTTATAGTTTATCATGAAGACTTTCAAATATACAGAAAAGTTGAAAATAATTTACCATGAGCATTTATATGCCCACTCCCTAGAATCCACCATTAATACTTTATTCTACTTGTTTTATCACATATCTATCATTCTGTTATCCATCAATCCATCTCGATTGTCATGTTGTTTTCTATCTTCTTCATAGCAGACTCAGTGGTCAGTGGAACTGATGAGGCAGAGTGAGTAAGCTTGTTTCTCCTGGGGGTGCTCATCCAAGGATATTTGGGCTGCTTCCACAACCACAGTGCCTTGGGCCACCAGAAAGAGGGTGCCATATGGATCTTTTTTTTTTTGTGGCCAAAGCCTTTGTTTTGGCATCAGCTTCGGTGGGGGCAGGAGCTTCCTTCTTCATCTTCAGCGCCATCTTGTGAAAAGGCTAAGATGTTAATAATTAATCTGTAATGAATAAACTTTGTCTGTGTAAGGCAGCAGCCCCCAACCTTTTTGGCATCAGGGACTGGTTTTTTGGAAGGTAATTTTTCCGTGGACCGGGGAGGGGAGTGGGGGGATGGTTTCAGGATAATTCAAGCACATTACATTTATTGTGCACTTTATTTCTATTATTATTACATTGTAATATATAATGAAATAATTATACAGCTCACCATAATGTAGAATCAGTGGGACCCCTGAGTTTGTTTTCCTGTGACTAGATGGTCCCATTTGGGAGTGATGGGAGACAGTGACAGATCATCAGGCATTAGATTCTCCTCCTTGCAAGCGCAGTTCACAGTAGGGTTTGTGCTCTTATGAGGATCTGATGCCATCGATGATCTGACAGGAGGCAGAGCTCAGGCAGTAATGCGAGCTATGGGGAGCAGCTGTAAATACAGATGAAGCTTTGTTCGCTGGCTGGTGGCTCACCTCCTGCTATGCAGCCCAGTTCCTAACAGGCCACGCACCACTACTGATCTGTGGCCTGGGGGTTGGGGAAGCCTAGTCTAAGGCACACAGGAGAAAGATTAGTGGTTTCTGAAGTGGTACTTTAATTGTGTGCATCTGGGAGAAAAGAGCAGAAGGTTGTTTGTGTGCATGATGTGCACATATATATATAAACATTTATGCATTTATTCACCGAATTCAAATATATGTATATATATACACTCACTGTATACATATGTGTATATTTATTCAATATATATGTGTATTTACTTGCTCATTTAATCATTCATCAAATTTCATGATCACCTTTTCTATGCTAGGATTTATGCTAGGTGCTGGAGATAATCAAATTAATGCTTATGGCTTCTTTCTTCAAATGACTAATTTTTAGAAAAACATGTGAACAGGGCCAGGTGTGGTGGCTCACACCTGTAATCCCAGCACTTTGGGAGGCCAAAGCGGGTGGGCGAATCATGACGTCAGGAGTTTGAGACCAGCATGGCCAACATGGTGAAACCCTGTCTCTACTAAAAATACAAAAAATTAGTTGGGTGTGGTGGCAGGCGCCTGTAATCCCAGCTACTTGGGAGGCTGAGGCAGGAGAATCACTTGAACCCAGGAGGCAGAGGTTGCAGTGAGCCGAGATCACGCCACTGCACTCCAGCCCAGGGATAGTGCAAGACTCTGTCTCAAAAAAAAAAAGAAAAACATGTGAACCAATACTTGCAATATTATCATATTTCATTGTAAAGTTTAAATTGTTTTCTTCAAAAAACTATAATTTTCTTCATGAAATTTGATGAAATCATGAAATTTGATGAATGATTAAATGAGCAAGTAAATACACATATCTTCAGACACAAACCATACCATGTTCCTAACATGGTACATAATAATAAGGCTTCAAAAAGTAGTTGTTGAAAGAATGACTAGAGGAAAGTTACAAGCACAAGGTAAGGGTATCAGGGAAAGCTTCAACGAACAGATAAGTCATAGTTGCATAATAAAATTGAAAAAGATGTATAATAACTTAAGTACATAGAAGCACATGTGTGAAACCTGTATTTTACATCATTCATAACACCTAATCCCAGATGGATCATAGACATAAACATGAATAATAAAATGAAACTTCTAGAATAAGATGAAGGATAATATATTCATGATTTTGGGATAGGCAAACATTTCTTAAATAGTAATAAAAAAGCATTGATGACAAAAGAAGAAACGGATAAACTGAAATTCATTAAAATTCATAATTTGTATTTATAAAATACACCAGAGCTGCCAAACTATGGACTGTGTATTAGTCTGTTCTCCCGCTGCTATAAGGATATACCCAAGACTGAGTAATTTATAAAGGAAAGAGGTTTAATTGACTCACAGTTCCACAGGGCTGGGGAGGCCTCAGGAAACTTCTAATCATGGCTTAAGGGGAAGCAAACACGTCCTTCTTCACATGGTGGCAGCAAGGAGAAGTGCAGAGCAAGTGGAGGGGGTGGTGAAGCTCCTTATAAAACTATCAGATCTTGTGAGAACTAACTCACTATCACGAGAACAGGATGGAGGAAACCGCTTCCACGATTCAGTTATCTCCACCTGGTACCTCCCATGACACATGGGGGTTATGGGAATTACAATTCAAAATAAGATTTAGGTGGGGACATAGCCCAACCATATCAGACTATAAACTTAATCCAGCCTGTCAAGTGTTTTTGTACAATATGTGAGCTAAGAATAATTATTAAATTTTTACATGGCCGAAAAACAATCAAAAGAAGAATGATAAAGTTTTTGCTTATTCAGTAAACGTATTGTGTGTAGCTGCTTTTGCACTAAATGGCATAGCTGACTAGTTGCAAAAGAGACCACATGACCTGCAAAACCTAAAATATTTATTATTTGGCTCTTTACAAAAAAAGTTTGACCCCTAAAACATAAAATTAAGAAAATGAAAAGGTAAGCCGCAGATTGGAACAATACATGGCCAAAAAGGATATTCACTAAAAGGATGTATATTCAGAGTATGTAAAAGAACTCCTACAAACCGATAAGAAAAAGACAGACAAGCAAAGATGTGGTCTTTTTTTTTTTTTAAAAAAAAGGGGGGGGCAAAATTCTTGAATAGGCAGTTAACAAAAGAGGATATACAAGTGACCGATACACATATGACAAAGTGCTCAACATCATTAGTCATTAGGGAAATGCAAATTAAAACCACAATGAAATACCACTCCACACCAATATATACCCATCAGAATGGCTAACGTTTGGAAGCTTGACAATATCAAATGGTGAAGATATGGACCAACTGGAGAGATAATTGGTATAGCTACTTTGGAAAACTCTTGGGTAAAATCTACTAAAACCAAACCTATGTCTATTCGATGGCCCAGTAATTCCACTTCTAGGGATACGGCCATCAAAAATGATGACATTTGTCTACCAAAAGACTTGTACAATAAGGTTCATAGCAGCTTTATTCATGATAACTCACAAATGGAAACAACAGAAATTAGAATAAATATATATCATACAGTGATACGCAGTGAAATACTATGCAGTACTGAAAAAAGTAAACCACTGCTACACAAAAGGGCTTGGATGCATCTTTCAGACATATGTCAAAAAAAAAAAAAGAAATTTACACAGGAGTGCATACTATGTGGTCACCTTTGGGGAAGGGATTGTTAAGTGGGAAGAAGCCTTCTGAATGTTTGATTTGAATGATGATTACATGGTTAAACAGATATGTAAAAACAGTGTGAGATTAATATGTGAACATAAAGCTTTTGTACCGATTGCACGTATGTTATACTGCAACAAAGATTTAAACAGTCAAAAAGTAGAAAAAGTATAAATGAAAGTATGAATAAGGATGGCAACATAACTTAGCTATGTATGGTATGAATGGGAAAAGGGGTAAACAGAAGAATTTGTTCAATTTTCCAAATTGTGAACATTGGTTATATTTATCCATTTCCTGTTTGGCCAACAGAGAAATAATTATTCTGAAATTTTAACGTACTTACTCATTGCAATTCCCGAACAGATGCCAACATGATTTTGTCCTTGAACCATATTAATGGCTGTGGCCATATGAAAGTCTCTATCTCAGATAATTCTCAGTCATCTACCTCACTTATGTCTGTATAGACACTCCAAGAAAGAGAAAGAGAGAGAGAGGGAGGAAGGGAGGGAGAGAGAGAGAGAGGGAGAAAAGAAACAAGAAAAGAAAAGAAAAAACTTTTCTCAAAGACAACTTTTCAACTTAGAGAAAAAAGATGAGGAACGTGAGAAAGTCCATAACATGGACAAAGAAGAACTGAAACGCCTTTATTGAGTGTAGTGGATTGAATGGTAGCCCCCCAAATGATCTATTCATATCCTAATGGCCAGAATCTGTGACTATGACCTTATTTGGAAATGAGTCATTGCAGATGTAATTAAATTAAGGATTTTTTTTTTTTTTTTTGAGACGGAGGCTAGCTCTGACGCCCAGGCCGGAGTACAGCGGTGCGATCTTGGCTCACTGCAACTTTTGTCTCCTGGGTTCAAGCGATTCTCCTTTCTCAGCCTCCCGAGTAGCTGGGACTACAGGTGCGTGCCACCACGCCCAGCTAATTTTTTGTATTTTAAGTAGGGACGGGGTTTCACCGTGTTAGCCAGGATGGTCTTGATCTCCTGACCTTGTGATCCACCCGCCTCAGCCTCCCAAAGCACTGGGATTATAGGCATGAGCCACTGCGCCTGGCTTAAGGATCTTTAGATGTGATCATCCTGAATTACTCAGGTGGACCCTAAATCCAAGGATAAGTGTCCTTATAAGAGACAGAAGAGAAGACATGGGCACACAAAGAAGGCCATGTAAAGACAGAGGCAGAGATTGGAGAGATGCAGCCAGAAATGCTGATGCAACCCCCGGAAGCTGAAATTGGCAAGGAATGAGCCCTTTCCAGAAGTTCCCTGGAGGAATGTGGCCCTGCTGGATTTTGGACTGCTGGCCTCCAGAACTGTAAGATAACATATTTCTGTTGTTGTAAGTTACCCAACTTGTGGTAATTTGTTACAGCAGCCCTAGAAACTAATACTAAGAACATTACCTTCCTCAGCCCGGTGAAACTTTTCTATTTCTTTAAATTTTGGAGGATGGGAAAATGGGATTCAGAATGACAGAGATACAATGAGCAGGGCCTTTGCACGAAATGTTCCCTCTGTTGGAGTGCTCCCCTTCTTCAAACTTTTACTTTGCTACCGTGTCTGCATCTCCCCTGATGCCCTTGCTTTCTTTTTCTCCATAGAATTTATCTGACACTGTATATTCCTTCTTCTTCTTCTTTTTTCTGAGACAGGGTTTCACTCTTATCACCCAGGCTGGAGTGCAATGGCATGATATCGGCTCACTGCAACCTCCGCCTCCCTGGTTCAAGTGGTTCTCCTGCCTCAGCCTCCGGAGTAGCTGGGATTACAGGCGCCTACTGCAACGCCTGGCTAATGTTTTTGCATTTTTTAGTAGAGACGGGGTTTTGCCATGTTAGCCAGGCTGGTCTTGAACTCCTGATCTCAGGTGATCCGCCTGTCTTGGCCTCCCAAAGTGCTGGGATTTCAGGCGTGAGCCACTGCGCCCGGCCTGACACTGTATATTCTACTTGTCGTTCCTTTCCTGTCTTCCCCCACTATATTTCACACTCCATCGAGCTAAGAACATTCACCTTTTTCCCCCTTCTGTCTCCCTGATGCCTGGTGCTCAGTAAATATTTGTTGAATAAACTAGAAAATAAACAAATGCGCAAGTGAGTGAATGAATGAAGGACCAGTGGGGATGGCACACACACAAAGCTCTCAGGAGGAGTGCATGATGCTCTTACATATTGTTGAAGTCGTGTCCTCATTTGAAGAGGCCTGCTTCTTTGTTATTCATTAGATAAAACACACAGCTGTGGGGTTCATCTCATAGCAGCCAATGTTCCAAACCAATCCCACTTTTCTCAGGAATGATATGGTCTGGTCCACTGTTCATATTTGCTGATTGCATTCTGTCTCCCCAACCTGGATTGTGCCTCCCCATTTAGACATTCTTTTCTTCATTTTCTGCTCCTGCGGCAATGTTCATTGGCCTTTATCTCCCATCTTAAACTGGTGGGCAATTTACTGGGCTTTACCATACTGAGAAAATGTCTAGGTTAACCTAGTCCAAATAAAAGTGGAAAGTTTAATTAAGACAAAATTCAGGTGAAAAATGAGGAAGGAAACTTTAGTAACATTCTTTGAATATCTAATACGTGCTGGTTCCTTTCGTATGTATTATCTCATCTCTTCATGTCAACCCAGTGAGATAATATCATTAACTACCACTTATATCTGCTTACTAAGTGCCAGCCCCAAGCACTTTGCATATATTATCTAATGCGTATCTTTATTTAACAACCCTATGAGATAGGTGCTATTATTATCCCCATTTTGGGATTAAGAAAATTAGACTTAAAGAGATTAAGTAACTTCTCCAAGATCATACAACTATAGTCATGTCAAAGCCAGGATCCAAATGCAGGCAGTTGGAGGTTCAGAGTCTGTGCCTTAAACCAACAAGCTGTAATAAGCCAGTAGATTATTAGTTGGCTACTGCAGGTTATGTTATCTCCATCTTACAGATGAAGGAATCCGGAAAAATAATAATGGTTTTCAGTGTCACGTAGCTAGTAAATGGCAGAGCCAATATTTAAACCCAATCTAAACCATATATCAAACTGTTGATGTGTGTGTCTACAGGGTTATTTTCAAACGCATCTCAAATTTAGTGTAGCCAGAACTACACCTAAAATGACTCTTCCCCAGGGTTTCTCAATCTAAGCAAGTGGGATCTCCATCTACTCATATCCTTCATGCCGTACGTCCACTCAGTTTGCCAACTTTCACTGATTCTGTCTCCAAAATAGACACCAAAGTCCATCTCTTATATCTGCCTTCATTTCAACCATCCTTTCTTCCTAGTCCACTGCAATAACTTTTAATTGCTCTCCCAGTTTCTACACTTTCCCACTTCTAATTCTCCCCACGCCAGCCAGACAGAATGATTTTTTAAATGGAAATCTGATTATGTCATTTGCTTGCATAAATCCCTCTAAATCTTTCTTTTGGGGGTTCTGGTAAAATTTAAAATCCTCATACTATGGTCCTTATCTGACTGCAGCTTATTTTCCAACTTGTTCGTACACCTTAAGGATATTGGCCTTCTCTCTAATATCATAGGTACCATGATATCTGTCAACTCATAGATATTAAGTTCCTTCCTAATATGGGGCCTTATTATTACTATTATTATTATTATTATTACTGCCCCTTTTATTATGTTCTTTCCTTCCTTTCTATTACCTCTCTTTTTTACAAAACAGATTTATAGCAATGTAATATAGAAATGTAATTCACATACCATAACATACACCCATTTATGCTATACCATGCAATGGTTTTAGTCCATTCACAGAGACCCGTATCATCACCACGATCCATTTTAGAACATTTTTATCATCCCTAAAAGAAACCCTATAGCAATTAGCAGTCACTCCCTGTTTCCTCCAACCCCTCTAGCCCTAGGTAGTTCCTAATTGACTTTATGTCTCCATGGATTTGCCTATTCTGGACATTTCATCATTTCATATAAATAGTGTTATACAATGTGTGATCTTTTGTGACTGGCTTCTTTCACTTAACATAATATTTTCTTTTCTTTCTTTTTTTTTTTTTTTGAGATGGAGTCTCACTCTGTTGTTCAGGCTGGAGTGCAGTTGTGTGATCTTAGCTCACTGCAACTTCCATCTCCTGGGTTCAAGAAATTCTTCTGCCTTAGCCTCCCGAGTAGATGGGATTACAGGCACCCACCACCAAGCCCAGCTAATTTTTGCATTTTTAGTAGAGACGGGGTTTCACCACTTAGGCCAGGCTAGTCTCGAACTCCTGACCTCAGGTGATCCCCCTGCCTCAGCCTCCCAAAGTGCTGGGATTACAGGCATGAGCCACCGTGCCCAGCCTCATAATATTTTCAAGGTTCATCCAAATTGTAACACATATCAGTTCTTCACTTTTTTTAATGCTAAATATTATTCCATTGTATGGATACAACACATTTTTGTTTATATGTTTATTTAGCTTTTTCCACTTCTTGGCTATTATGAGTAATGCTGCTATAAATATTTTTGCCACTGAAAGGACTTCAGCTTTTACTCTAAACAAAATGAATGTCCATTTTAGATGGGAGTCAGAAAAGTGATGATCTGACTTAATATTTTAAAAAGCTCATTCTGGCTGTTTTGAGAACAAAACAAAGGACAAAGGTAGAAGCAAGGAGTTTGGTTCAGAGGCTATTGCAGTAATCCAAGAGAGAGATGACTGTCCATTGAATTAAGGTGGTCACAGTAGAGAAGGTGGTAAGGATGGTCAGTTCCTGGATATATTCTTAAGACAGATTCCACAGGATTTGTTGACAAAATCGGTATGCAGTAGGATAAAAAGAGAGGCATCAAAGATAACTCCAAGGGTTTTAGCCTGAATAACTAGAAGGATGGAGGAGCTGCCATCAAAAGAAATGAGGAAGACTGAGAGTGAAGCAGGTCTGGGGAGGAAAGATCAAAAATTCAGTTTTGGACATATTACATTTGAAATATCTATTAGATATCTAAGTGTCAAGATGTCAGGTAGACATATATATATTTTGAAAGTGGATCCAAAAGGACCTACATATATATATGACACCTCTTGTATATATAATAGATATCATCCTGGTAACATTAAGTAACCAGTGTTGTTAATTTAATTTTGAGGCATAACTGTCGATTTTTTTTCTTTCTTTCTATTGAGACGGAGTTTTGCTCTGTCACCCAGGCTGGAGTGCAAGGGGGGAATCTCGGCTTACTGCAACCTCCGCCTCCCAGGTTCAAGCGATTCTCCTGCCTCAGCCTCCCAAGTAGCTGGGATTACATTTTTGTAGTTTTTAGTAGAGACAGGGTTTCACCATTTTGGCCAGGTTGGTCTCGAACTCCTGACCTCAAGTGATCTGCCCGCCTCAGCCTCCCAAAGTGCTGGGACTACAGGCATGAGCTACCGTGCCGGCCAACTGTAGATATTTAATAAGGGTAACCTAACTCTTTGCCTCAGATGGTATTCTACATATTTCAATGAGAGCAGTGTGGGGTCTGGAGATCTAAGTATGAGTTCCCTTTCTATTTTGATTGATTATGTGATCTTGAGCAAGTATCTTTACTTATTTATGCCTTAGTCTCTTTAACTTTTTTTTTTTTTTTTTTTTTTTGAGATGGAGTCTCACTCTGTCACCCAGGTTGGAGTGCAGTGGCGCGATCCCGGCTCACTGCAGCCTTCACCTCCCAGGTTCAAGCGATTCTCCTGCCTCAGCCTCCTGAGTAGCTGGGATTACAGGCGTGTGCCACAAGCCCGGCTAATTTTTGTGTTTTTAGTAGACATGGGGTTTCGTTATGTTGGCCAGGCTGGTCTTGAACTCCTGACCTCAAGTGCTCCACCTGCCTCGACCTCCCAAAGTGCCGGGATTATAGGTGTAAGCCACTGCACCTGGCCTCTTCAACTTTAAAATGGGGAGTTGTGCAAGATAGTAGCCAAGACCCACTCTGCCCCACCCCCTGCCCTGCAGCCCTAAAAATTCTTCATTTTACTTATCTTAACTGAAAGCTGATTTTCTCAAGGTGACAGCATTTTTGGAATTTTACCAGAGAAGGCGGCTTCTTTTCCTTCTCCTGTTAACTCAGTGGGCAAAGAAACAAGAACTTTGTGTTTATATATGCCTGTCTCTCCATGGCCACTATTTATTTATTTATTTATTTATTTATTTATTTGTTTATTTATTGTTATTATTATTTTCAATACTTTAAGTTCTGGGATACATGTGCGGAATGTGCAGGTTTGTTACGTAGGTATACACATGCCATGGTGGTTTGCTGCACTCATCAACCCATCATCTACATTAGGTATTTCTCCTAATGCTATCCCTCCCCTAGCCCCCCAACCCCCAACAGGCCCCAGTGTCTGATGTTCCCCTCCCTGTGTCCATGTGTTCTCATTGTTCAACTCCCACTTATGAGTGAGAACATGCGGTGTTTGGTTTTCTGTTCCTGTGTCAGCTTGAGAATGACGGTTTCCAGCTTCATCCATGTCCCTGCAAAGGACATGAACTCATCCTTTTTTATGGCTGCATAGTATTCCATGCTGTGTATGTGCCACATTTTCTGTATCCAGTCTATCATTGATGGGCAGTTGGGTTGGTTTCAAGTCTTTGCTATTGTGAACAGTGCACAATAAACATACATGTGCATGTGTCTTTATAGTAGAATGATTTTGAATCCTTTGGGTATATACCCAGTAATGAGATTGCTGGGTCAAATGGTATTTCTGGTTCTAGATCCTTGAAGAATTGCCACACTGTCTTCCACAATAGTTGAACTAATTTATACTCCCACCAACAGTGTAAAAGCTTCTCCACATCCTCTCCAGCATCTGTTGTCTCCTGACATTTTAATGATCAGTATTCTAACTGGTGTGAGATGGTATCTCATTGTGGTTTTGATTTGCATTTCTCTAATGACCAGTGATGATGAGCTTTTTTTCATACGTTTTTTGGCCACATAAATTTCTTTTGAGAATTGTCTGTTCATACCCTTCACCCACTTTTTGGTGGGGCTGGTTTTTTTTGTTTTTGTTTTTGTAAATTTGTTTAAGTTCTTTGTAGATTATGGATATTAGTCCTTTGTCAGATGGGTAGATTGCAAAAATTTTCTCCCATTCTGTAGGGATACGTAATTTTTAACAAAGTATAACTATACATTTTTTTTGAAACACTTCTTATTGAAGAATGAAATACAAACCTTTTTTCTTTTTTCTTTTCTTTCTTTCTTTTTTTTTTCCTGTACACTCTGATCATAGTTTCTTTTGCTGTGCAGAAGCTCTTTAGTTTAATTAGATCCCATTTGTCAATTTTGGCTTTTGTTGCCATTGCTTTTGGTGTTTTAGTCATGAAGTCTTTGCCCATGCCTATGTCCTGAATGGTGTTGCCTAGGTTTTCTTCTAGGGTTTTTATGATTTGAGGTCTTACGTTTAAGGCTTTAATCCATCTTGGGTTAGTTTTTGTATAAGGTGTAAGGAAGGGGTCCAGTTTCAGTTTTCTGGATATGGCTAGCCAGTTTTCCCAACGCCATGTATTAAATAGGGAATCCTTTCCCTATTGCTTGTTTTTGTCAGGTTTGTCAAAGATTAGATGGTTGTAGATGTGTGACATTATTTATTTTTTTAAATTTTATTTTATTATTATTATACTTTACGTTTTAGGGTACATGTGCACAATGTGCAGGTTAGTTACATATGTATACATGTGCCATGCTGGTGTGCTGCACCCATTAACTCGTCATTTAGCATTAGGTATATCTCCTAATGCTATCCCTCCCCCCTCCCCCCACCCCACAACAGTCCCCAGAGTGTGATGTTCCCCTTCCAGTGCCCATGTGTTCTCTTTGTTCAATTCCCACCTATAAGTGAGAACATGTGGTGTTTGATTTTTTGTCCTTGTGATAGTTTACTGAGAATGATGATTTCCAATTTCATCCATGTCCCTACAAAGGACATGAACTCGTCATTTTTTATGGCTGCATAGTATTCCATGGTGTATATGTGCCACATTCTCTTAATCCAGTCTATCATTGTTGGACATTTGGGTTGGTTCCAAGTCTTTGATATTGTGAATAGTGATGTGTGGCATTATTTCTGAGGCCTCTGTTCTGTTCCATTGGTCTATGTATCTGTTTTGGTACAAGTACCATGCTGTTTTGGTTACCGTAGCCTTGTAGTATAGTTTGAAGTCAGGTAGTGTGATTCCTCTAGCTTTGTTCTTTTTGCTTAGGATTATCTTGGCTATATGGGCTCATTTTTGCTTCCATATGAAATTTAAAGTAGTTTTTTTCTAATTCTGTGAAGAAAGTCAATGGTAGCTTGATGGGGATAGCATTGAATCTATACATTACTTTGGGCAATATGGCATGGCCAATTTTATACCATTGTTTTCCTACCATGAAATTAATAATATCTCTTCTTTAAACAACAAATAATCTTTTATTATTACTACAAGAGTGATACACATTTAATATGGACAATAATTCAAATTATGTTGCCTCTCGTGTTTCTCTGCTAATTTCTCATAACATTATGTTCACACCTCTGGTATGGCATTTATAACATTCTGTCTGCTATTATTGTTCCTTGTGGACTCTGAGTTAGTTCATTTCATGATGCCAGTGATTGTCTCTGACTCATTTTTGCCAGTCACAGACTGTTCAGGTAAATGCCTTATCAATCATGAACACTAGAAAAATGTATGGTGAATTAATGAGTGAGTCAATAAACCAATTATATAATAATAAAATAAATTTTCTAAACTATAAAGTACAATAAAATTAAATTTCCCAGAAGGACCCTTCTGATATCCGTGGGTGGGTTTTCTGCTCTTTTGAGCTTTTATGTAATATCATTAAACAGCTCATGATTTCATACACACCTATGAGGTCATTGAAATTCTCTCTGGCACATGCAACTTATTTCTAACTTTTATAAAAAGTAGCATAATGAAAAGATTATTGCAATTAAAAGCAGCAGTTGGAATCCTAGGTCTATCCCCAAATAGCTGTGTGACTTTGGGTAAGTTGCTATCCCTCGCTGATCCTCAGTTCTCAATTTGATGAAGTGAGAATTGCAGATCCTATACACTGGGTTAATGTAGAAACACAATGAAATAATGAAATTCTTTGTAGACTAAAATGACTCTATTAAAAATATCTTCAAAAAGATTTCTGAATCAGGCAGTGTGGCTCATGCCTGGAGTCCCAGCACTTTGGGAGGCTGAGATTGTAGGATTGTTTTGAGCCCAGGAGTTCGAGACCAGCCCAGGCAACATAGGGTGACCCTGTCTCTTAATAAAAAAAAAAAGAAAAGAAAGAAAACAATTTCTGAGAAGACACACTATTAGTACATTATTTTTATTGTTAAAATGATCAAAATTCTTAAATAGAATAATTTAGCAGACTCCCAGTTTAATGCTAAGATATGATAGTGATCTAACCTGAGAGTTGTGCTCTATGATTTTTCAAATGAGGGGATAGAAAAATAGGTCCATAAAATTTTTGGAAATGTATGCTAGGGTTGCTGCATGTGGCTGCACCACTCTGGGTTCTCTATTCACACAGTCTCCAATAACAGCACAGTGTTCCTCGTGGTCATCCAAGCAGTTAGTCACAAGAATAATTGAGAGACCTAGTATGGATCACCTAATACATTCTGTGAGTGTTTGGAGAGATACCATATATTTATAATAAATTATTAAACTGTGTGTGTCCCTCCTTGTCATTACTAATACTAAAAATGTGAAGAAAACGTTTTGAGTCAGGCCGGGCGTGGTGGCTGTAATCGCAACACTTTGGGAGGCCGAGGCAGGTGGATCACGAGGTCAGGAGTTCGAGACCAGCGTGGCCAACATGGTGAAACCCCGTCTCTACTAAAAATACAAAAATTAGCCAGGCGTGTTGGCGGGTGCCTGTAATCCCAGCTACTCAGGAGGCTGAGGCAGAAGAATCGCTTGAACCCGGCAGGCGGAGGTTGCAGTGAGCTGAGACTGTGCCATTGCACTCCAGCCTGAGCAACAGAGTAAGACTCCATCTCAAAAAAAAAAAAAAAAGTTTTGAGAGACAGAGATTGAGTTGAGAGGGTATAGCTAACTAGATACAGAGAGAGCGATATGGATTCATCCCTCCTTGACCTAGGTTCTTCATGTCATTTTATTAACATAGATCTGTATCTCGGTTGGGCACAGTGGCTCATGCCTGTAATCCCAGCACTTTGGGAGACCAAGGTGGGTGGAGTTTGAGACCAGCCTGGGCAACCTGGTGAAACCTCTATCTCTACCAAAAACACAAAAAAAATTAGCTGGGAGTGGTGGCACATGCCTGTGGTCCCAACTACTTGGGAGGCTTGAGGTGGGAGGATCGTGTGAACCTGGATCACGATGGATGGGGAGGTTGCAGTGAGCCAAGATTGCACCAATGTACTCCAGCTTGGGTGACAGAGTGAGATCCTATCTCAAAAAAAAAAAAAAAAAAGAAAAAGAAAAAGATTTGTATTTCATTCTTCAATAAGAAGTGTTTCGAAACACAGGTATAGTTATACTTTGTTAAAAATTACATATCCCCAATAAATCATAATGTCTAAAAACATGTGCAAATGTATTACACAGGTATATTTAAATACATAAAGGCTGCACTACACGACTTTTCCTATGTTACCTAAATATTATGTTTCATGGATTTATCCATTTATTCAAATAAACATTGATTAGACATTTAGTCTGTGTTCAGTCCTAGGAACAAACCAAAAAAAAAAAGAAAAGAAGAAGGGAAGAAATAATGATCATTTCTTTTTTATATGGGGTAAAATCATCCCCAGGTAAGAAAGAGTTCAGACACATGAGTCAGGGTGGTGCTGAAGTTCATCATTTGAAAGGAGTTGTTTGGCCTAGGACACTGAATCACTATGAAATGCATTTCACTCCAGCCAGAGGGAAGACGTTTTAAAGTTCTTTGTGAACCAAATACAACTTTTCCATTCCCAGGCAGGCCAGTGATACCAGTAAGGGATAAAGCAACAGTGTTGGCATGAGCCCAGCAAGTGCCAGAGCAGTAAGGTACACCTGGAGTAGCAGCAGCAGGAAGGAAACTTCATCCAGGACCCCATAGGAAGGGTGGACATGAGAAGTTTGGGATCCTAGTGAATTCACTGTTTCACTGTTATTAGTATTAAAGGTAGACTGGCTGGGCGCAGTGGCTCACACCTGTAATCCCAGCACTTTGGAAGGCCAAAGCAGGCAGATCATCTGAGGCCAGGAGTTTGAGACCAGCCTGGCCAGCATGGTGAAAACCCATCTCTACTAAAAACACAAAAATTAGCTGGGCCGGATGTGGTAATCCTAGCACTTTGGGAGGCTGAGGTGGGTGGATCACCTGAGGTCAGGAGTTCAAGACCAGCCTGGCCAACATGGTGAAATACCGTCTCTACTAAAAATACAAAAAATTAGCTGGGCGTGGTGGCGGGCACCTGTAATCTCAGCTACTCGGGTGGCTGAGGCACCTGTAATCCCAGCTACTCGGGTGGCTGAGGCAGGAGAATCGCTTGAACTCAGGAGGTGGAGGTTGCAGTGAGCCGAGATCGCGCCATTGCACTCCAGCCTGGGCAACAAGAGTGAAAGTCCATCTCAAAAAAAAAAAAAAAAAAGCCTGGTGTGGTGGTACACGCCTGTAATCTCAGCTACTCGGGAGGCTGACCTCTGGATTATCTGATAGCATCTAAATTTGAGAAAGGGTGATAGAATCTAAATTCCTCCCCTCTGTGACTTACAAGTTGCAAAACTGGTCTGAATGTCCACCTTTGCTGTATAAAAAAAGGCATGTCAGAAAAATTATTCCTTCAATGCATAAAAATAATCCACTCTTAGAGCTAGGAAGACTCTTGATGGTAGCTTGGACCACGGCCTCATTCTACAAGAAGGAAATTAACCCACAGAGACTAAGGAATTTGCTTACGATAGAGAAAAACCAAGATCCCAAGTCTTCTCATTCCCAGTTCTGTGCATCTCCCACCACACCACATTGCTTTTGTTTTGTTTTTCATGTGAAGGATTCTGTTTTACCAAAGAATTGAGAGCAAGAAAGAACCCTTACCTTCATATATCTATTCCTATACTTTTTAATTCATAACTCTTTCACATGTAGTTTTCAGCCAAAAATATTTGGAAGTATGTGATAACATTTTTTTATAGTCACTATGACTACATGTACATAGTGATTGGGACCCAGGAATATTGCATAATACAGCATAATAAATATCCCACATGAATGCAACAGTAGTCCTGGTGAAAAAAAAAAAACAAAAAACGTGACACACTGATATGGGTTGGCTGTGTTCCAACCCAAATCTCATCTTGAATTGTAGCTCCAGTAATTCCCATGTGTTGTGGGAGGGACCCGGTGGGAGATAATTGAATCATGGGGGCAGTTTTCCCCATACTGTTCTCGTGGTAGTAAGTCTCATGAGATCTGATGGTTTCATAAGGGGTTTCCCCTTTCAATTGGCTCCCATTCTCTCTTGTCTGTCGCCATGTAAGACATGCCTTTCACCTTCTGCCATGATTGTGAGGCCTCCCCAGCCACGTGGAACTGTGAGTCCATTAAACCTCTTTTTCATTACAAATTACCCAGTCTCAGGTATGTCTTTATCAGTGGTGTGAAAATGGACTAATACACACCCTGAATATGGATCATGGATTGTGCTGCTAAATGCTTATATAAATACATTATATCCCATTTAATTCACACACAAAATAAGAGACATACTATCAAAATTTCCACTTTACAGAGTAGAAAACGAAAGCACTGAAGGGAAGAGTTGTATGTATGTAGGTATGCACGTATGTATATGCATTGACATTTTCCTCAACAACACCCTTTTTAGTATCAAAGCACAGAATACAGGCATACCTCATTTTATTGCACTTCACTTGTTTGTGCTTCACAGATAGTACACTTTTACAATGCAAAGTTGGTGACAACCCTGTATCAAGTAAGGCTATCAATGTCATTTTTCCAGCAGCATGTGCCCACTTTGTGTCTTCATGTCACATTTTGATATTCTCAGAATATTTCCAACTTTTTCATTATTATTACCTGTTAAGATGATCTGTGATCAGTGATCTTTGATGTTACTATTGTAATTCTTTCAGGACCACCACAAACCATTCCCGTATAAAATAGCAAACTTAACACATTTTGTGTGTGTTCTGACTGCTCCACTTTCTAGCCATTCCCTTCTCCTCTCTCCTTCTCCTCTGGCCTCCCTATTCCCTGAGACACAATAATATTGCAATTAGGCTGGTTAATAACCCTACAATTGCCTCTAAGTGTTCAAGTAAAAGGAAGAGTCACACATCTCTCACTTTAAATCAAAAGCTAGATATGATTAAGCTTAGCGAGGAAGGCAAGTCAAAAAGTGAGATAGGCTGACAGCTAGGCCTCTTGCACCAGTTAGCCAAGTTGTAAATGCAAAAGAAAAGCTTGTGAAGGAAGTGCTATTCCAGGGAACACACGAATGTTACAAAAGCAAAATAGCCTTATTGCTGATATAGGAAACGTTTTAGTGATCTAAATAAGAAATCAACTCCAACATTCCCTTGAGCCAAAGCCTAATCTAGAACATGGCCCTAACTCTCTTCAATTCTATGAAGGTTGAGAGAGGTAAGAAAACTGCAGAAAAGTTCAAAACTAGCAGAGGTTGGTTCATGTCATTTAAAGAAAAAGCCATCTCCGTAACATAAAAGTACAAGGTGAAACAGCAAATGCTAATGGAGAAGCTGTAGCAAGTTACTCAGAAAATCTAGCTAAGATCATTGATAAAGGTGGCTACACCAAATAACAGATTTTCAATGTAGATAAAACAGTCTTCTATTGAAAAAAGATGCCATCTAGGACTTTCCTAGCTAGAGAAGAGATGTCAATGTCTGGCATCAAAGCTTCTCAGGACAGGTTGGCTCTCTTATTAGAGGCCAGTGCAGCTGGTATCTTTAAGTTGAAGCCAATGCTCATTTATCATTCAAAAAATCCTAAGGCCTTAAAATTTATGTTACATCTACTCTGCCTGTGCTCTATAAATGGAAAAACAAAGCCTAAAGGACAACAGATCTGTTTATAGCGTGGGTTACTGAATATTTTAAGCCCACTGTTAAGACCTACTGCTCAGAAAGAAAAAAAAAAAACTCTCTTTCAAAGTATTACTCTCATTGACAATGCATGTAGTCACCCCAGAGCTCTGATGGAGATGTACAAGAAGATGAGCGCTGATTTCATGTCTGCTAATACAACATCCAGTCTGCAGTCCATGGAGTAAGGGATAATTTTGATTTCAAGTCTTACTAATTAAGAAATACATTTTATGAGGCTATAGCTGCCATCTCTCCAAATTTTTTTTAAAAGTTCTTCTGTGGGTAAAATGCTATCAAATAATATAACATGCTACAGAGAAATCTTTCATGAAATGAAGAGTCAACCAATGCAGTAAACATTCTGGTCTCCCTAAAAGAAATTGCCACAGCCACCCCACCCTTCAACAACCACCACTCTGGTCAGTCAGCAGCCATCAACATTGAGGCAAGACCCTCCCCACAAGCAAAGATTACAACTTGCTGAAACCTCAGATGATCATTAGCCTTTTTTAGACATAATGCTATTGCACACTTAATAGACTACCAGATAGTCTAAACATAACTGAAAACCAAACAATTCGTGTGTCTTGCGTTAATGAGATCTAGTTTTATTGTAGTGGTCTGGTTCCGAATCTACAATATCTCCAATGTGTGTCTGTATCTGAAACATTAAAAAGTGAGGGAAAACCGTTTTCTGTGTAGTTCCCTCTGCTTTGGTACCCTGCTCTGAAAATTCCAGCCAGCTCAGCTTCCCTAACTTTTGATCTCTTTCTCTCTTCAATTCAGTGAAACTTCTGTGCTTTGTCTGTGCTCTTTCCTGAGAAGGATCATACCAATATCCACTATTCTTTATTTTTATTTATTTTAGTGGATATTCACTATCCTTTTTTTTTTTTTTTTTTTTTTTTTTTTTTGAGACAGAGTCTCACTCTGTCACCCAGGCTAGAGTGCAGTGGTGCGATCTCTTCTCACTGCAACCTTCGCTTCCCGGGTTCAAGTGATTTTCCTGCCTCAGTCTCCTGAGTAGCTGGGATTACAGGCATATGCCACCATGCCCAGCTACTATTATTCTTTATTTTTATTTATTTATTTATTTATCTATCTATTTATTTTTTTGAGACAGGGTCTGCTCTGTCACCCAGGCTGGAGTGCAGTGGTGCAATCTCAGTTCACAGCAACCTCTGCCCCCCTGGGTTCAAATGATCCTTCTTCCTCAGCCTCTCAATTAGCTAGGATCACAGGCACACACCACCATGCCCGGCTAATTTTTGTATTTTGTTTGGTGGAGACAGGGTTTCAACATGTTGCCCAGGCTGATCTTGAACTACTAAGCTTAAGCAATCCATCCATCTCGGCCTCTCAAAGTGCCGGGATTATAGGCATGAGCCACTGCTCCTGGCCAACCATTATTCATTTTCTACCACATTTGTACAATTTTTTTGGTACATTTCCTTATGATGTTATTTCCTATGCATCTGATTTTTTTAAAAAATATGATATTAGTATATGTACAAATGTTTACCTTCTGATGTTTTCATGTAACATATTATAAACACCCCCTCACTGCTATATAGTTTTCATAACCGTCACTTTACAATTACACTGTAATTAAGAAATTACAATGTTCAAATCACTGCCTATACCTTAATTAAGCATCCTTTTTTAGTCCACTTTGCTATATTAAATACAAAAGGAAAATATTCATGATTGATGTCCTCCTAAATAATCTCTCTTTATTTCTCTCCTCGCTTCTCTGCAAGTCTTATTGTAGGCTTCAGCTATATTTTTGATAGTTCTAGGATGCCTCTCTGCCTCTGTGTATGCTACTTCCTTATCTGAAATATCCTAAAATATCCTTTACCTCTTCTCCTTTTGGCTTCTCTTTTAGAGGAGGCATTCTTTTCTCTAGAAAGTCTTTTTGCAAGACTGCTCTAAGACCTATGTGGTTGGATTAATTATGTGCCCATATCTATCAAAACACTTACTCTACAAAACTTCCACTTCCATCATAATGGGATAGCTAGTATTGGACTTGCCCTACTGCCATTAAAAAAATTTAGAAGAATGGACAAAATATATGAAACAATTGTTTTCAGAATTTGGACATTAAGCATAACAAATCTCTGACCCCCAAGGAAAGGGAAACAAATGAGAAAAGCCCTATGATTGCCCCATTTCTTTTACTTGGGGGTACTCTACAGAATATGAAGCAGGGAGAAAGAGCACAGTTGTCTCACTGAATTGAAGGAAGGCTGAAATGGCTGGAATTTTCAGAGTAGAGTACCAAAGCAGAGGGGGCCACACAGAAAAAGATTTTCAATAAACTGCATGGGAACCGACTGAGTCTGTTGTTGAATACTAAGTTTTGAATACGTAGAGTAAAACTCCATAAGGCTGGAAAACAGCAACTGAAGGCCTGCAAGCTGAATGATTCTCAAAACCCACAGAAGAGCAGAGAGATATTCAAGTAACAATAAACTAAAGAACAGAGACATTATTGAACACCTACAGCATATGATAGAAACCTGAGAAGGCTCATACCACAGTAGTAAAAGGTTCATACCATAGTAGTAGAATTCAACTAGTCCTAGAGTAAAGGCTACAAAGTACTGGGTTCACCCCAATAAAACTTAAAACAAGCCTCAAAAGTATCAAGCTGATCTCAAAATAGCTTAGCATTCTTTTTAAAAAGACATCAAAATTTACATATTGGAGATCATAAAATCTCAATGTCTAATGTCCAATCAAAATGTCTGGACATAGAAGGAAGGAGGAAAAGATGACCCATAGGCCAGGTGTGATGGCTCACACCTGTAATCCCAGCACTGTGGGAGGCCAAGGCAGGCAACTCCCTTGGGGCCAGGAATTCAAGACTACCCTGGCCAACATGGTGAAAACCTGTCTCTACTAAAAATACAAAAATTAGCCAGGCGTGGTGGCGCATGCCTGTAATCCCAATTACTCAGGAGAACGAAGCATGAGAATTACTGGAACCGGGAGACGGAGGTTGCAGTGAGCTGAGATCGCACCACTGCACTCCAACTTGGACAAAGAACGAGACTCTGTCAAAAAAAAAAAAAAAAAAAAAGGAAAAGAAATAAAGGTGACCCATAATCAGGAGAAAAATAAGCTAATATAAATCATCCAGAAATAACAGGTGCAGGCAGGAATTTTAAAGCAGTTCAAAAATTTAAAGAGAAATACAAACATAATACAGAAAAAAAAATTCTAAAAAGAGTAAAATGGAAACTAAAACACAATATTCTAAATAAAAGAATTCACTGAATGGGCTTAACAGATTAGATACTACAGAAGGAAAGGCGGGTAAACTTGAAGACATAGTCAACTGAAATACACCCAAAGTGAAGCTCAGAGAGGAAAAAGAACAAAAGATAATGAACAATTACAATGACCTGTGGATAATATCAAGCAGTGTAACATGCATGTAATTCAAATCTCAGTGGAGTAGAGAAATAATGGTTGGAAAAGTTTAAAATTTTTTGAAAACTATAAACCCACAGATCCAAGAAGTTCAACAAATATCAAGCCCAATAAATACACACATATATACACACACACAAGCACATGGCCCAAACCAAGGCACATAATAAACACATTGCCGAACAGAAGTGTATAAACAAAGTCTAAATGCAGCAGGAAAAAAAACAGACATATTACACACAGGGCCATTTTCATAAACAATGCAAGCCAGAAAAAAATGTAACAACATAAAGTATTGAAATGGGACAGAAACTGTCAATCTGGAACTATATACCCAGAAAAAATATCCTTTAAAAGTGAAAGTATCATAAAATAAAATTTAGAAAATAGAAACAAATTTCTAAAATGCTGGCAGATTAGATATTCATAAAATAAAATTTAAAAAATAAAAATAAATAAAAGTTAAGGTAAAATATAGATTCAGACAAATAAAAGCTGAGAAAGTTTATTGCCAATAGACCTGCACAACAAGAAATGTTAAAGGGGCCGGGCTTGGTGGCTCACACCTGTAATCCCAGCACTTTGGGAGGCCAAGGCAGGTGGATCACCTGAGGTCAAGGGTTTGAGACCAGTCTGGCCAACATGGTGAAACCCCTTCTGTACTAAAAATACAAAAAAATTAGCTGGGTATGGTGGCAAATGCCTGTAATCCCAGCACTTTGGGAGGCCAAGGCAGGTGGATCACCTGAGGTCAAGGGTTTGAGACCCGTCTGGCCAACATGGTGAAACCCCTTCTGTACTAAAAATACAAAAAAATTAGCTGGGTATGGTGGCGCATGCCTGTAATCCCAGCTACTTGGGAGGCTGAGGCAGGAGAATTGCTTGAACCCAGGAGCCAGAGGTTGCAGTGAGCTGAGATGGCACCATTATACTCCAGCCTGGGCAACAAGAGCGAAACTCCATCTCAAAAAAAAAATGTTACAGGAAGTTCTTCTGACTAAAGGAAAATCACACAAGGTAGAAATTGGATCATGGATCATCTGTAATACAAGGTGGTGGCCCAGTTGCCAAAACTGTCACCAGTGGTAACTTGAGAGGATGTTCTGGTGAAGGGGGGGTGCCTCGGTTGGTGTAATAATTCAGGCATGGGGAAGGAGGCAATGCATGTGAGACCACTGGCTTGTTAATAAGTTATATTTACACTTCATAGAGGGATATATATATAATGAAAAGCTGAAGGCAAAATTAATTGTGACGGCAAGAGAGCCTTGTTAGAAAGAGGCTCTTATCTCCTGTAGTGAGTAGCAGAAAAAGCTGAAAACCAGATTCAAGATTGAATAGTTAGAATTGCCTAGCTCAAAAACACTTAACCAAAGAAGTCTGTTATGCTAATGTCAGAATCTTGGTTGGGAAAAATCTGGGATTCTGAAACATGGGATGGAGAAATCTGGTTGAGTGCCTCTGAAGATTTGTGTTACCTAGCCTTAGCTAAACCTTTAGAACCGCAGAAGTGGCCTGCCTCTCCTTACTAAGAGCTAGCACTCTCTGTGGGAGACTTGTCCTCTACAGTGCTACTGGGTCTGAACATCAAAGTCAATAGCTATGTGGAGTGACAGCATAATGTAGCTGGGTTTATGCTGACCCTGAGAAGGGAAGATAGGGTCACTGCTCTAAATGAGCAGGAAGAATTAGCATTTTCCAGATAGAACTAGGGGAGTACTTGTGGCCAGGCTATGGTGCCTAGATATTTCGTCAAATACCAGTCTACATGTTGCTGTGAAAGTATTTTTAGATATGACCAACTTTTTATTTATTTATTTATTTTGAGACAGTCTCACTCCATCATCCAGGCTAGAGTACAGTGGCACGATCTTGGCCCACTGAAGCCTCCACCTCCCAGGTTCAAGCAATTCTCATGCCTCAGCCTCCCAAGTAGCTAAGATTACAGGCATGTGCCATGCCTGGATAATTTTTGTATTTTTAGTAGAGACGGAGTTTTGCCACGTTGGCCAGGCTGGTCTCGAACTCCTGACCCTCAAGTGATTTGCCCGCCTCAGCCTCCCAAAGTGCTGGGATTACAGGGGTGAGCCACCATGCCTGGAAATTTTTTTTTTTTTTTTTTTGAGAGAGGAGACAAAACCAAACCATGTCATTCCACCCCTGCCTCCACCCAACTATTATGTCCTCACATTTCAAAACTAGTCATGCCTCCCTGACAGTCCCCCAAAAGCTTAACTCATTTCAGCATTAATTCAAAAGTTTACAGTCCAAAGTCTCATCCAAGATAAGGCAAGTCCCTTCTGCCTATGAGCTTGTAAAATCAAAAGGAAGTTAGTTGCTTCCTACATACAATGGGGGTACTGGCATTGGGTAAATACAGCCATCCCAAATGGGAGAAATTGGCCAAAACAAAAGGGCTACAGGCCCCATGCAAGTCTGAAATTCAGCAGGGCAGTCAAATCTTAAAGCTCCAAAATGATCTCCTTTGACTTTATGTCTCACATCGAGGTCAGGCTGATGAAAGAGGTGGGTTCCCATGGTCTTGGGCAGCTCCACTGCTGTGGCTTTGTAGGATACAGCCTCCCTCCTGGCTACCTTCATGGGCTGATGTTGAGTGTCTTCGGCTTTTCCAGGCAAATGGTGCAAGCTGTCAGTGGATCTACCATTCTGGGGTCTGGAGGATGGTGGCCCTTTTCTCACAGCTCCACTAGGCAGTGTCCCAGTAGGGACTCTGTGTGGGGGCTCTGATGCCACATTTCCCTTCTGCACTGCCCTAGTAGAGGTTCTCCATGAGGACCCCACCCCTGCAGCAAACTTCTGCCTGGGCATCCAGGCATTTCCATACAACTTCTAAAATCCAGGCAGAAGTTCCCAAACCCCAATTCTTGACTTCTGTGCACTTGCAGTCTCAACACCACATGGAAGCTGCCAAGGCTTGGGGCTTGCTCCTGCTGAAACTACAGTCCAAGCTCTACATTGGCTCCTTTCAGCCAATGCTGGAGGGGCTGGAATGCAGGGCAAGAAGTCTCTAGGCTACACACAGCACGGGGACCCTGGGTCCAGTCCATGTAACCACTTTTTCCTCCTAGGCTTCCAAGCATGTGATGGGTGGGGCTGCTGTGAAGACCTCTGACATGCTCTGGAGACATTTTCCCCATTGTCTTGGGTATTAACATTTGGCTCCTCGTTACTTATGCAAATTTATGCAGGCAGCTTGAATTTCTCCTCAGCAAATGGGATTTTCTTTTCTGTCGCACTGTTAGGCTGCAAATTTTCTGAACTTTTATGCTCTGCTTTCTTTATAAAACTGAATGCCTTTAACAGCACCCAAGTCACCTCTTGAATGCTTTGCTGCTTAGAAATTTCTTCTGCAAGGGGTTGCAATCCTAGTCTCTGATAAAACAGACTTTAAACCAACAAAGATCAAAAGAGACAAAAAAGATCATTACATTATGGCAAAGGGATCAATTCAACAAGAAGAGCTAACTATCCTAAATATATATGCACCCAATACAGGAGCACCCAGATTCATAAAGCAAGTCCTTAAGACCTACAAATAGACTTAGACTCCCACACAATAATAATGGGAGACTTTAACACCCTACTGTCAATATTAGACAAATCAATGAGACAGAAGGTTAACAAGGATATCCAGGACTTGAACTCAGCTCTGCACCAAGCAGACCTAATAGACATCTACAGAACTCTCCACCTCAAATCAACAGAATATACATTCTTCTCAGCACCACATTGCACTTATTCCAAAATTGACCACATAGTTGGAAGTAAAGCACTCCTCAGCAAATGTAAAACAGCAGAAATCAAAACAAACTGTCTGTCAGACCACAGTGCAAACAAATTAGAACTCAGGATTAAGAAACTCACTCAACACCACACAACTACACGGAAACTGAACAACGTGCTCGTGAATGACTACTGGCAGAACAAAGATGTTCTTTGAAACCAATGAGAACAAAGACACAATGTACCGGAATCGCTGGGACACATTCAAAGCAGTGTGTAGAGGGAAATTTATAGCACTAAATGCCCACAAGAGAAAGTGGGAAAGATCTAAAACTGACATCCTAACATCACAATTAAAAGAACTGGAGAAGCGAGAGCAAACAAATTCAAAAGCTAGCAGAAGGCAAGAAATAACTAAGATCAGAGCAGAACTGAAGGAGATAGAAACACAAAAATCCCTTCAAAAAATCAATGAATCCAGGAGCTGGTTTTTTGAAAAGATCAACAAAATTGATAGACTGCTAGAAAGACTAATAAAGAAAAGAGAGAAGCATCAAATAGACGCAATAGAAAATGATAAAAGGGATATCACCACTGATCCCACAGAAATACAAACTATACTATAAACACCTCTATGCAAATAAACTAGAAAATCTAGAAGAAATGGATAAATTCCTGGACACATACAGTCTCCCAAGACTAAACCAGGAAGAAGTTGAATCCCTGAATAGACCAATAACAGGCTCTGAAATTGAGGCAATAATTAATAGCCTACCAACGAAAAAAAGTCCAGGACCAGATGGATTCACAGCCAAATTCTACCAGAGGTACAAAGAGGAGCTGGTACCATTCCTTCTGAAACTATTCCAATCAATAGAAAAACAGGGAATCCTCCCCAGCTCATTTTATGAGGCCAGCATCATCCTGATACCAAAGCCTGGCAGAAACACAACAAAAAAAGAGAATTTTAGACCAATATCCCTGATGAACATCAGTGCGAAAATCCTCCTTAAAATACTGGCAAGCCGAATCCAGCGACACATCAAAAAGCTTATCCACCAAGATCAAGTTGGCTTCATCCCTGGGATGCAAGGCTGGTTCAACATACACAAATCAATAAACATAATCACATAAACAGAACCAAAGACAAAAACCACATGATTATCTCAATAGATGCAGAAAAGGCATTCGACAAAATTCAATAGCCCTTCATGCTAAAAACTCTCAATAAACTAGGTATTGATGGAACATATCTCAAAATAATAAGAGCTATTTATGACAAACTTACAGCCAATATCATACTGAATGAGCAAAAACTGGAAGCATTCCCTTTGAAAACTGGCACAAGACAGGGATTCCCTCTCTCACCACTCCTATTCAATATAATTTTGGAAATTCTGGCCGGGGCAGTCAGGCAAGAGAAAGAAATAAAGGGTATTCAATTAGGAAAAGAGGAAGTCAAATTGTCCCTGTTTGCAGATGACATGATTGTATATTTAGAAAACCCCATCATCTCAGCCCAAAATCTCCTTAAGCTGATAAGCAACTTCAGCAAAGTCTCAGGGTACAAAATCAATGTGCAAAAATCACAAGCATTCTTATACACCAATAACAGATAAACAGCGAGCCAAATCATGAGCGAACACCCATTCACAATTGCTTCAAAGAGAATAAAATACCTAGCAATCCAACTTATAAGGGATGTGAAGGACCTCTTCAAGGAGAACTACAAACCACTGCTCAATGAAATAAAAGAGGACACAAACGAATGGAAGAACATTCCATGCTCATGGATAGGAAGAATCAATATCGTGAAAACGGCCATACTGCCCAAGTAAATTTATAGATTCAATGCCATCCACATCAAGCTACCAATGACTTTCTTCACAGAATTGGAAAAAACTACCTTAAAGTTCAAATGGAACCAAAAAAGAGCCTGCATTGCCAAGACAATCCTAACCAAATAGAACAAAGCTGGAGGCATCATGCTACCTGGCTTCAGACTATACTACAAAGCTACAGTAACCAAAACAGCATGGTTCTGGTACCAAAACAGAGATATAGACCAATGGAACAGAACAGAGCCCTCAGAAATAACACCACACATCTACAACCATCTGTTCTTTGACAAACCTGACAAAAACAAGAAATGGGGAAAGGATTCCCTATTTAATAAATGGTGCTGGGAAAACTGTCTAGCAATAGGTAGAAAGCTGAAACTGAATCCCTTCCTTACATCTTATACAAAAATTAATTCAAGATAGATTAAAGACTTAAATATTAAACCTAAAACTATAAAAATCCTGGAAGAAAACCTAGGCAATACCTTCAGGACACAGACATGGGCAAGGACTTCATGACTAAAACACCAAAAGCAATGGCAACAAAAGCCAAAATTGACAAATGGGATCTAATTAAACTAAAGAGCTTCTGCACAGCAAAAGAAACTACCATAAGAGTGAACAGGCAACTTACAGAATGGGAGAAAATTTTTGCAATCTGCCCATCTGACAAAGGGCTAATATCCAGAATCTACAAAGAAGTTAAACAAATTTACAAGAAAAAGTCAAACAACCCCATCAAAAAGTGGGCAAAGGATATGAACAGACACTTCTCACAAGAAGACATTTATGCAGCCAACAGACAGATGAAAAAATGCTCATCATCACTGGTCATCAGAGAAATGCAAATGAAAACCACAATGAGGTACCATTTCACACCAGTTAGAATGGTGATCATTAAAAAGTCAGGAAACAACAGGTGCTGGAGAGGATGTGGAGAAATAGGAATGCTTTTATACTGTTGGTGGGAGTGTAAACTAGTTCAACCATTGTGGAAGACAGTGTGGCGATTCCTCAAGGATCTAGAACTAGAAATACCATTTGACCCAGTGATCCCATTACTGGGTGTTATAAATCATGCTACTAAAAAGACACATGCACACATATGTTTATTGCAGCACTATTCACAATAGCAAAGACTTGGAACCAACCCAAATGTCCATCAATGATAGACTGGATTAAGAAAATGTGGCACATATACACCATGGAATACTATGCAGCCATAAAAAAGGATGAGTTCATGTCCTTTGTAGGGACATGGATGAAGCTGGAAACCATCATTTGAGCAAACTATCACAAGGACAGAAAACCGAACACTGCGTGTTCTCACTCACATGTGGGAATTGAACAATGAGAACACTTGGACACAGGGCGGAAAGCATCACACACCAGGGCCTGTCATGGGGTGGGGGAATGGGGGAGGGATAGCATGAGGAGAAATACCTAATGTAAATGACGAGTTAATGGGTGCAGCACACCAGTATGGCACATGTATACATATGTAACAAACCTGCACGTTGTGCACCTGGACCCTGGAACTTAAAGTATAACAAAATATTTTTAAAAAGAAATTTCTTCTGCAACATACCCTAAATTATCTCTCTCAATTTCAAAGTTCCACAAATCTCTAGGGCAGGGCAAAATGCCGCAAGTCTCTGCTTAAAACATAACAAGAGTCACCTTCGCTCCAGTTCCCAACAAGTTCCTCATCTCCATCTGAGACCACCTCAGCCTGGACTTTATTGTCCATATCATTATCAGCATTTTGGTCAAAGTCATTCAATAATTCTATAGAAAGTTTCAGACTTTCCCACATTTTCCTGTCTTTTTCTGAGCCCTCCAAACTGTCCCAGTCTCGCCTGTTACCCAGCTCCAAAGTTTCTTCCACATTTTTGAGTATCTTTTCAGCAGTGCCTCACTCTACTGGTACCAATTTACTGTATTAGTCCGTTTTCACGTGGCTGATAAAGACATACCCAACACTGGGCAATTTGCAAAGGAAAGAGGTTTAATGGAGAACTCATAGTTCCAAGTGGCTGGGGAAGCCTCACAATCACAGCAGAAGGCAAGGAGGAGGAAGTCACATCTTACATGGATGGCAGCAGGCAAAGAGTGAACTTGGGCAGGGAAACTCCCCCTTATGGAACCATCAGATCTCATAAGACTTACTCACTAACATGAGAACAGCATGGGAAAGACCTGCCCCCATGATTCAATTACCTACCACCAGGTCCCTCCCACAACATATAGGAATTCGAGATGAGATTTCAGTGAGGACAGAGCCAAGCCATATCAGAGCCTTGGAAGTGTAATTGCTAAGTCAAATAACTAATATATATGTATAATTTTGCTAGATATTAACTGGTAGTCATTCTTGTAAACCTATTTCTTCTCTTTAATTTGTCATCTTCCTTCAAGGAACCTCTAGATATTAAGTCAAACAACTCAAACATTTGGAGATTACCTCCAACCTTCCTCTTATTCCCTGCCACCATCAAAATAGACATACAATTAAAGTAATTTTACCTTGTAGGAATGTTTCAAATTCAGTTCTGACTTTTAATCCCTGAAGCCGCTGCTTTAATTCAAAGTCCTGTGAACTCTTTGGACATGCTCTTACACATATTATTTGTATCTTAGAATATAGGAGAGGCCAGGCACAGTGGCTCATACCTGTAATCCCAGCACTTTGGGAGGCCGAGGCAGGTGGATCACTGAAGGTCAGGAGTTAGAGACCAGCCTGATCAACATAGTGAAACCCCGTCTCTACTAAAAATACAAAATTAGCTGGGGATGGTGGTGCACACCTATAATCCCAGCTACTTGGGAGGTTGAGGCAGGAGAATTGCTTGAACCCAGGAGGCAGAGTTTGCAGTGAGCCAAAGTCGTGCCATTGCACTCCAGCCTGGGCAACAGGAGAAAAACCCTGTCTCAAAAACAAACAAAGAAAAAGACAAAAACAAAGCAAAACAAAAAACATAGGAGAGAGTATATAATACTAATTGGAAGACTGAAGAGGCACTAACTAGAGAAAAGGCATTCTAGGCAGAGGAAAAGGCATTTCCTAAGATACTGTGGTAGGAATGTGCATGGAAAGGAAATAAAAGAAAGTCAATGTGTTGAAAACACAAAGAGCAAAAGAAAATCAGTTGGAGAGCAAGAATCAGTTGGTAGCAAACAGGCAGGGTTTATAGGCTATGTTAAGGATTTCTTATTTTATTCTAAAATATATAGAAACCATTTAAGGAGTTTAAGCAACTGGGTGAAATAATGAGATTTGGGGATTGGAAACATCATTCTAGCTGCTGGATGAACAAAAATTGGAGTAGTCCAGGCAAGAGATACTGACATACTCTGGTGGCAGTGGTTGTGGCAAAGTAGAAAGATTGAGTAAATATTTTTAATAGATTTAATATATGTAAAAAGATAGAACCTAGCGATGGATTGTTTAAGGGAGTGTTTCCCTTAATCATGTTTTTTCTTTTATGAGTTGATGGACAGTGATTCCAATCACTAAAACAGGAAAAACTGAAAGACAGCCAGGTTGGGGCAGAGTTGGTGTGGGGCAGGGGTGGAAATAGTGAGTTGGCTTTTTATTATTTTTATTTATTTATTTTTTGAGACGGCGTCTCACTCTGTTGCCCAGGCTGGTGTGCAATGGCAATATCTTGGCTCACTCCAACCTCCGCCTCCCAAGTTCAAGTGATTCTCCTGCCTCAGCCTCTCGAATAGTTGGGATTACAGGTGTGCACCACCATGCCCTGCTAATTTTTGTATTTTTAGTAGAGATGGGGTTTCACGGGCCGGGCGCACTGGCTCACGCCTGTAATCCCAGCACTTTGGAAGGCCAAGGCAGGCGGATCACCTGAGTTCGGGAGTTCGAGACCAGCCTGACCAACATGGAGAAACCCTGTCTCTACTAAAAGTACAAAACTAGCCAGGAGTGGTGGTGCATGCCTGTAATCCCAGCTACTTGTTGGCTGAGGCAGGAGAAACACTTGAACCCGGGAGGCGGAGGTTGCAGTGAGCTGAGAATGTGCCATTGCACTCCAGCCTAGGCAACAAGAGAGAAACTCTGTCTCAATAAATAAATAAATAAATAAATAAATAAGTAAATAAATAAAATAAAAAAAAGAGAGATGGGGTTTCACCATGTTGGCTAGGCTGGTCTAGAACTCCTAACCTCAGGTCATGTGGCCACCTTGGCCTCCCAAAGTGCCGAGATTATAGGCATGAGCCACCATGGCTGGCCGAGTTGGCTTTTTAATGTTTTGTTGTTCTGTTTTTTTTAATCTTTTGAGATAGGGTCTCACTCTGTCACCCTGGCTGGAGTGCAGTGGTGTGATCACGGCTCACTGCAGCCCTGACTTCCCAGGCTCAAGCGATCCTCCCACCTCAGCCTCTGGTGTAGCTAGGATTACAGGCGCGTGCCACCACGCCCAGCTAATTTTTTTATTTTTGTAGAGACAGGGTCTCCCTATGTTGCCCGGGCTGAGTTGGCTTTTTAGACATGCTGAGACTGAGGTGCATTTGATATTCAAAGATATGTTAGTAAGCACTACATGGAAATAAAGTTCAGGGGAGAGGTCTCGGTTGTTGCTATACATTTGTGAGTCATCTGCAAATGGTGTAATTTGAGTCATGGGTGTATATGAGAATGCCTAAGTATGTAATGAGGACAGGAGAGGTCTAGACCAAGCCTACAGGACTGACAACAGAAGCAACAGAAAGAAAAGGAGGAGCACACAAAGGAGATGGAGAAATAACAGCACGTGAGCAGGGTTAAAAGGAAGGCATGGAAAGGGCCTATACAAAGGAAAGAATGTTTCATTGTGTTGATTGCTGCTTGAGGCTGAGTTAAAATGAAGCCATAAAAAATGATCATTAGATTGAGCAACAGAGAAGTCATTAGTGACTTCAATAAGGGCAGTTTCACTGAAGTGATGGAGGCAGAAGCCTAATTAAAGTGGGTTGAGGAGTAAATAGAAGGTAAGAACATGGATTACAGCTTTTCCTTCAGAGAAGCTTAACTGGGATAGGAAATACAGAAGTGTAGAAATAGCTGGAGGAGAATGTGAGATGAAGGGAGGTCTTTTAAAGATGAGAGAATATTTTGAATACAGATGGGAACAATTCAGTGAAGTGAGAGGGTGGAAGAAAAAGTGGAAAACAACAAGGAACTAACCCCCTGAGGAGAGCAAAGGGAATTAGATCTATATTGAAGAACTGGCCAACCGTAGGAGAAAGAACCCATCATCAGATGAAACAGGAAAGAAGGAAGAGGTGAGGGCAGATGCAGATGGGTTCATGGATCTAATGATAAGATTATGAAACTGTGCCCATCTGATGGTTTCTACTTTCTCAATTTAATTTGAAGAGAGGTTGTCAGTTGAAAGTAATAGGCATGGAGATAGATATTCTATGAAACAGATATCTCCATGAATAGGAAAGTGAGCTTATAGGAGAAATGTGGTATGATGGTTGGACAGTGCTGACAGCTCATTTTACTTGCCAATTGGCAATATGATTGTTCTTGTGTACTTAACTTCCTGTGTTGTAAATTAATCCAAATTGATCTCCGTAAGAGATTGGTCTGAAATAACCAAATGATGGTTTCAGTTCTCCACTTCACTTATGTCTTAGCTGAGATCTTCCAAAAGCAGGTCTGAAGCAGTGAGTTTATATTCTTTTATTTTATTAGGGAGTACAATCCCATGGAAGAAGAGTTAAGGACAAAGACAGTGAAAGAAGGAAGGAGGAAGAGTCAGAGTGAGGATGTCATGTGTGAGTTGCTGCCAAGTGCCGTGCTCCTAAGAATCAGAATACACTGTATCTCAGGACTGCCCACTTAGTGGGGGAGGCAGTAGAAAAGAGGAAGATGTTATCCATTAGCTGTGATCTCTAACATCATAAGTTCACCTGTTGGGCTTCCAGGTTGCCCATGTCTGGATGCCCGCCCCTAGTAGTGCCTAGAAGGGGCTGCAAGGCAAAGGAAGCCCTGAGATGGGAGGAGACAGGTGTAAGGAAGAGCCAGCAGAAAAGTTCTTTTAACTTAGGCCTTCAAAGAGACAAAGAACGTCTACGTCCAAAGAAACATCTGATACAATTTACAACTAGGAATATGGCTTACCTGATTTGACTAAAGCCAAGTAATACTTTAGAAACACAGACAAAATGAAAATCAGCTCATCTATTTCTAAAGTAATCAACAGATGTCTCCTTATCTGGCTGGTGAGCTGATCAGAGATTTTAAAGATATTTTCTACATAACAGGAGAATTTCAAATTTTATTTGGACAGACATGCAGGAAACAATTTTAAAATTATTATCTTAGCGGGGCAGAAAAGTCTCAGGGATTCTGAATGGGTTTTCGTTTTTTTTTCTTTCTTTTTTTCCCTGTTTTTTTTTTTTTTTTTTTTTTTAGACAGGGTCTCACTCTGTCACCAAGGCTGGAGTGCAGTGGTGCAATCCCAACAGCTCACTGCAGCCTTGACTTCTTGGGCTCAAGCGATCCTCCTGCCTTGGCCTCCCAAGTAGCTGGGACATACAGGCACACCTCACCAGGTCCAGCTATTTTTTTTCCATTTTGTTATAGAGACAGCTGGTCTTGAACACCTGGGTTCAAGTGATCCTCCCATTTCAGCCTCCCAAAGTGCTGGAATTACAAGTGTGAGCCACCATGCCCAGCTTTTTTTTTGTTTTTAAATCATAAAGTGCTCCCGTTCTGCTATCTAGTGCTCACTAGTTTATCAGGAGAAATTTTCTTTTTTTTTTTTTTTACGCTTAATTCACTTTATTTTTCTTGTATAAAAACCCTATGTTGTAGCCACAGCTGGAGCCTGAGTCCGCTGCATGGAGACTCTGGTGTGGGTCTTGACGAGGTGGTCAGTGAATTCCTGATCGGGAGACTTGGTAAATACAGTCTCCTTCCAGAGGTCGGGGGTCAGGTAGCTGTAGAAATGGCATCAAAGGTATTGCTTTATCTGTTTATCAATAACATCACTACCAACATTTTGTGGCAGGACAATTGCTAGTTAAGAGGGACTGCTCCAGGCATTGCAGGGTATTTATGTCCCTGCCCTTCACTCCCCTTAAACTCAGTCTCCTCATTAAATAGCAACAACCACTCACAGTTATTGTGGGGACTGAAAACACTCCTGCACATTTTTAAGTGTGCCCCATGACCCCAACCATTGGGAACCACTGCAGGAGGGGTTGACAGCCTCTACTTTACAGATGGGACACTAGGGCTTAGAAGCTCAGTAACAAGGTCATATTACAGATCAGCAGTAGAGCACGAACTCATAAACATAAGTTATTTTCTAATGCCCTTTTCCTCTCTACAAAGGATCTTTAAGAAACACTAGGGACTGGCCACAGTGGCTCACACCTGTACTCCTAGCAGTTTGGGAGGCCAAGGCAGGAGGATCGCTTGAGCCAGGTGTTTGAGACAAGCCTGGGTAACATAAGGAGAACTCATCCCTATAACAAAATTTAAAAATTAACCGGGCATGGTGGTGCATGCCTGTGGTCTCAGCTACTCAGGAGACTAAGGTGGGAGAATTCTTTGAGCTGGGGAGGTCGAGGCTGCAGTGAGCTGTGATCGCACCATGGCATTCCAGCCTAGGTGACAGAGTGAGACCCTGTCTCAAGAACAAAAAAAAGGAACTGTAGCTCTCTTAGTGGATTTGTAATATGACACAATTTATACAGATTCTATTTTCGCATAGCTTTATTTAATAAAGTGAGGGTCACTTGTGAAATCATCATAGTAACAAAGATAGCTAAATAATAGATCAGAGAAAAGTCACAAAATACAAAAATCATTAAGGGATTAAAAAAAGAGATTGAGAAAGAGACTGTAGGAGGAAATTTTAAATAAACTAGGTTTATTCAGACTGAAAATTGGAATGAGGATTTGAGGATGGCCTTCTAGCACATGAAGGATTTTCACACATGGAATGGTATGTATAAGTGACATACTATACTAGTTTGAGATGCTTGCATTGGGATAATGTATGCACAGTGCTTGAAAGCTTACCAAGCACTTTCTTTTTAAAATTTTTCTATTTTTTAAGTTTCTTTTTCCTGACCTATACCAGTTGGTTCACAACCAAGCACTTTCGTATGCATTATCTTATTTAAATAATTTTGTAGCATCGAGTGGAGTTAAAAATGTAACTTTTATATGCATCTTGTTATGTATATATGTTAAAGAATAGAGAAAATACAAACATTATTGATAAAGATAAGAGACAGGATTTTTGAATACAAATATTTCCAATGATCCAGGTTTTAATTATATAGAAGATGGGAGTTCGTATAGGTACATTCCCTACTACCTAACATCTAGGTAATGTAGATAATTGCTGAATTTCATTGAAGGTATGTATTATAAGATGTAGCTGAACAAATGAACAAAACATCAATCAAAGTGAAATCAAGTTTAGGCCAGGCACAATGGCTTATGCCTGTAATCCCAGCACTTTAGGAGGTCAAGGAGAACAGATTGCTTGAGCTCAGGACTTCGAGACCAGCTTGGGCCACATGGTGAAACCCCGCATCTATAAAAATGCAAAAAAAATTAGCCAGGCATGGTGGCACAAACCTGTGGTCCCAGCTACTCAGCAGGCTGAGGCAGGAGGATCCCTCAAGCCCAGGAGGTGGAGACTGCAGTGAGCCAAGATTGTGCCACTGCACTCCAGCCTGGGTGACAAAGCGAGACCATGTCTGAAAAAAAAAAAGTGAAATCAAGTTCAAAGAGTAAGTATGTATGTATGACAAACTGCAAATTTTTAAAAAACAGTGAAGCTGGAACACAGGATTATAGGGAATACATGAAGCACAAGGAAAAGACAGGACAAAGAGGATGAGATAAGAGAAACGTCTGGAAAAAAGAGAATTTTGAGAACAAAACTATGTATAAGCTGCAAGCCTCTAATTCATTATTCGTGAGGAATTGTCCATTTCATTACCTGTACATGTTAGCTTACATAACTAGGAATGGGTACTTAATGTAAGACATGAAAAGGATTGACTATGTAATTAATATTATTCACATTCATTCAATGTAGTACTTAACATTATCTAATCTACTTTTAAATTAAGATATCTACTGTGATGGTGCCATTATACCTTCCTCTGTGAGATTGTTCATGCAACAAATAGAGTACCAGCCATGGGCTCCGCACTATTTTAGGCACTGGGGATACAGTAGAGAACAAAATAAATATATTCTTGTCTTCATGGATATTATTTTCTTGTATGTGTATAGAGGAGTGGGAGAGGAGATAGACAAAGATTTTAAAAAGTGCAGCATGTAGGTGGTGATAAGTGTTAGTAAACATTAGCTACTAAATACCACATACTAGAAAATAAAGCAGAAACAGACTATAGGGATTGTTGGGACATTAATGAAAAAGTAGTATTTGTTGCTTTGGATAAAACATCAGGTGAGTTCAGTCATGGGGGCTCACACCTGTAATCCCAGCACTTTGGAAGGCCGAGGCGGACAGATCACTTGAGGTCAGGAGATCGCCACGAACATGGTGAAACCCTGTCTCTACTAAAAATACAAAAATTAGCCAGCCATGGTGGCGAGTGCCTGTAATCCCAGCTACTCAAGAGGCTGAGGCAGGATAATCACTTGAACCCGGGAGATGGAGGTTGCAGTGAGCTGAGATTGTGCCACTGCACGCCATCCTGGGCGACAGAGTGAGACTCCGTCTCAAAAAAAAAAAAAAAAAAATCCGGTGAAAAGAGCAGAACTGAAAACTACATATAAGTCCCTTGTCAATTTTTATTTAAAAATATATTTAATACAATATGCACAGAAAAGAGAATTAAAGGAAATATATCTGTTATGGTTTGGCTGTGTCCCTACCCAAATCTCATCTCCAGTTGCAATTCCCATGTGTCAAGGCAGGTGATTGGATCATGGGGACAGTTTCCCCCATGCTGTTCTCATTATAATGAGGGCATTCTCATGAGACTCATGAGATCTGGTTGTTTCATAAGTGTCTGGCAGTTTCCCCTGCACACTCTCTCTCTCTCCTGCCACCATGTAAAATGTGCCTTGCTTCTCCTTTGCCTCCCACCATGATTGTAAGTTTCCTGAGGCCTCCCCAGCCATGCAGAACTGTGAGTCAATTAAACATCTTTCCTTCATAAATTACCCAGTCTCAGTTATTCTTTATAGCAGTGTGAAAGTGATGAATACAGGAAATGTGTACCGCAAAGAGTGGGGCATTGCTATAAAGATAACGTGAAAATATGCAAGTGGCTTTGGAACTGGGTAACAGGCAGAGGTAGGAACAGTTTGGAAGCCTCTGAAAAAGATAGGAAGATGTTTGGAAGTCTAGAAAGTCCCAGAGACTTGTGGAATGGTTTTGACCAAAATGCTGATAGAAATATGGACAATGAAGTCCAGGCTGAGGTGGTCTCAGATGGAGACGAGAAACTTAGGTTTAAAAGGGAAGCAGAGCATAAAAGTTTGAAAAATTTGCATCCTGACCATGTGACAGAAGAGAAAAACCCATTTTCTAGGGAGAAATTCAAGCTAGCCACAGAAATTTGCCTAAGTAATGACTAGCCAAATGTTGGTAGCCTGGACAATGGGGAAAATGTCTCCAGGGCATGTCAGATATCTTCATGGCAGCCCCTGCCATCACAAGCCCCATGGGAAAAATGGTTTTCTCACCGGAACAGCTTTAGGACTTGGTGCCCTGCATCTCATGCTCCAGCTCCAGCTCTGGCTAAAAGGGGCCAAGGTACATCTCAGGCCATTGCTTCAGAGGGTGCAAGCCCTAAGTCTTGATGGCTTCCATGTGGTGTTGGGCCTGCAGGTGAGCAGAAGATAAGAGCTGAGCTTTGGGAACCTGTGCCTAGATTTCAGAGGAGGTAGGGAAACACCTGGATGTCCGGGCAGAAGTCTGCAACAGAGGCAGAGTCCTCATGAAGAACTTCTGCTAGGGCAGTGAAAAGGATAAAGGTGGGTTTGGAGCCCCCACACAGAGTCCCCACTGGGGCAGTGCCTAGTGGAGCTATGAGAAGAGGGCCACTGTCTTCCAGACCCTAAGATGGTAGATCCACAGACAGCTTGCACTATGCGCCTGGAAAAGCCACGGGCACACAATGCCAGCTCATGAAAGCTGCTGCAGGGCGTGAACCCTGCAAAGCCACAGGGGCTGAGCTGCTCAAGGCCTTGGGAGCCCACCCCTTGCATCAGTGTGACTTGGATGTGAGACTTGGAGTCAAAGGAGATTATTTTGGAGCTTTAAGTTTTACTGACTGCCCTAGTGGGCTTTGGACTTGCATGGGCCCTGTGGACCCTTTGTTTTAGCCAATTTCTCCCATTTGGAATGGGAACATTTACCCAAAGCCTGTACCACCCATCTTGGAATAACTAATTTGCCTTTGATTTTACAGATTCATAGGTGAAAGACACTTGCCTTGCCTCAGATGAGACTTTGGACTTGAACTTTTTTTTTTTTTTTGAGATGGAGTTTCACTCTTGTTGCCCAGGCTGGAGTGCAATGGCACAATCTCGGCTCACTGCAACCTCTGCCTCCCAGGTTCAAATGAGCCTCCTGCCTCTGCCTCCCAAGTAGCTGAGAAAACAGGCGCCTGCCACCATGCCTGCCTAATTTTTGTATCTTTAGTAGAGACGAGGTTTCACCATGTTGGCCAGGCTGGTTTCGAACTCCTGACCTCAGGTGATCTGCCCACCTTGGCCTCCCAAACTGCTGGAATAACAGGTGTGAGCCACTGTGCCTGGCTGGACTTGAACTTTTGAGTTAATGCTAGAACGAGTTAAGACTTTGGGGGACTGTTGGGAAGGCATGATTGGTTTTCAAATGTGAAAAAAAAACCATGAGATTTGGGAGGGGCCAGGGGCAAAATAATATGGTTTGGCTGTGTCCCCACCCAAATCTCATCAATCCCCACATGTTGAGGGAGAGACCTGGTGGAAGGTGATTGGATCATGGGGGCTGTTTCTTCCATGCTGTTCTTGTAATAGTGAGAGAGTTCTCACAAGATCTGATTGTTTGGTAAGTGTCTGGCAGTTTCTGCTGAGCTCTCTCTTGCTCTCCTGCTGCCATGTGAGACATGCCTTGCTTCCCCTTTGCCTTTCACCATGATTGTAAGTTTCCTGAGGCCTCCCCATCCATTTGGAACTGTAAGTCAATTATACCTTTTTCTTTCATAAATTACTCAGTCTCGGGTAGTATCTTTATGGCAGTGTGAAAACAGACTGATACAATATCTAAATATTAAAGTTATTATCTTTTCTGGATGATGAAACTAGGAGTGGTTTTTAAAAATGTTTTGCTTTATACTTTGCTATTTGTGTTAGGTTTCCTATTATTAGCATGTGTTACTTTTATAAATCAGAAACAATAATTTTTTTAGTTACTTTTCTAAATACATGTTCCGTATCTCCACTAAATGGAATGATTTGAGGTCCAACATAATATATTTGGGTTAGATGTATGAAAGAATCATTTTCTAAAGTGATAAAACTTTCCCAAAATGCCCTATAGTATCTCTCTTCATCATTACATTTCTTTCTATTAAAATGTGATTAGTTTTTCAGGTTCTGGACCAAATCCCCTGATTTCTCTTCTCTCATTCACTTACTGCTTAAACTACTCATAAAACAGTTACAGTAATTTTCTTGTACTTAATAGCCTCCTCTTGAGAGGCAGTGAGGTATGGTGATTAAGAAAACAAGTTTCAGAGACAGGCACCTAGGTTTGAATTCTACCTTGCTACTCACTATTTGTGTGACTTCGGCCAAGTTAACTTTCTGTGCTTCTGCTTCCCCATTCAGAAAACATGATGCCTACAATTCCTTTCTCATGCATTATTGTGAGGATATGTGAGTTCATCCATTTATAGTGCTCAGAACAGTCATTGGTATATATCAAATGTTAGTCATTATTATTCTAAATGTAATCTTCTAGAAGGCAGGAACATCATTTGTTTTTTCTCTATATTCTTAGCTACAACTAAGCACAGTGCTAGAAAATGTATCCTATCAATTTATACCTCTAGGACCCAACATATGTAGGGAACAGTGATATTTGGGGTGGGGGTGGAGAACAAAATGTCAAGCAGTTTTATAGGTTATCTTTGTAATTCACTTTCCATCATTCTTTGAGGTAGATGGGAGATATGAAAGCTAAGGTTCTGAGAATTTAAACATCTTGCCCAAGATGAAATGCAAATTAAATTCATGTCTGTTTGACTGTTTTCATTGTATTACGTGTTGGAAATAAACAGGAATAAATGGATCAGTAAATCTGAGAAAGATCTGGAATTGTCTTTGGAGCTCCTCCAAAATAAATTGTCTTTATTTACCACTGTATCCCCAAAATTTAGCACAGTGCCTACTTCACGGGAAGAACTCAATAAATATTTATTGCGAAATGACTGAATAAATAAAGAAGCAGAAGGACAAAGGAACAAAACAGAATGAATGGGCAAAAATGACTTCTTAAAAGGGTATTTTCAGTCTTAATATTCAGTCTCATACATTCAGTCTATGATGAATTTATGACAAATGCTTCCATTCAGCACCTTGAGAAAGCAGAGGAAGTAATTTATACTTATTTGCTATAAGTATAAATTCAGACCAACTGGTTCACAATCACTTGTGGTTTTGTTTTTATAAAATGAAGAAGTAATAAGCCTCCAGCTGTGCAACCATAAGTTTCATTCGTTTGGCTGTGGATTCACTTGGAATTGGCAAAGGAATTCAAATAAATTTGTGTATTGTATCCCAAACATATTCTTTTCTTTTTAATTCGGAGAACTTTAGGAAAACACTTTTTTTGTTTGCATTTTAGATGATTGTATCCTGACCCCCTCCCCCTCAAATATTCAGTCTCAAGCTGGTAAAAGTCTACAGGGACTCCTGGAGGAACTGTTAGAGATGCTTCCTTGATGCAAATTAGTCCCCAACTTCCTCTTAATACATGCATGGGAGAAACACCTAAGTTTAACATAAAATGGATTTGTTTATAATAAGATGTCAACATGATAAAAACACATTAATACATCTGCAGGGTACAATGAAAAGCTATTGCAAAAAATCAGCTGCAAAAATACTTTTCATTTAGATCACAAATACCAGATACTTGAGGAATGAGTCAATATATGTCTTTGTGAAAAGAAGTTTGTATCCCACTGGTGCTTATAAAACATTTCTCAATTTATAAAAGCAGGCTTTCTTGCATGATTTTAGAGTACATAAAACTATTCACCCTGGGAATGGCATAACATCATTTTGGTTTATACAGTTACATGTTTTCTGCCCTCACACACACAGATCTTCAACATTATAATTAATTTTAGAACAGTCTACTTTGAGATAGCCAACTTCCTATAATATTGCAAATATGGTCTAGTGAGAATAGCAGAAGCATATGCAGGATAAATGTTAGTCATAGATGCTTTTAAAGTTTTGGGATCCATTACTAATGTACAATATTGAACAAGAAATATTTCTCAGTTTTTGAACCAGAATCTTGCTACAAATGAGGGAAATTACTCATGTTTGGTATTCTTGCTCTTTTTATTATCGCACATATCCGTGGTATATAGTTATGTAACATTGTAGTCATACAATACTTATTTTTTTTTTTTTTGTGGTCACTGGTACATAGAGAAAACTGTCTGAAGCATTTACTAAGCCTTAAGTTCTATTTTATTAGGGTAAAACAGAGTTTCTGTCCCATCTAAGTTATTTGGGTTGAATTAGAATGATGGCAATAGATTTTATTATAAAAATGACTCACTGTCCTTTTAAATTTTATAATGTAAGAAGAATCATGACAGATCCACAGCTATTAATCACACAAATATATAGACACATAGACATACCTATAGGTTACTGTCTGGCTCCTAAATATTCGCATCTTATGCATACACTCTATTACTAAAAGGTGAAAAAGTAGCTGTGTTAAGGATGACACAATTGTAGCATATTCCACAATCTGTGTATAACATTAGCATCTTTTTGTTTTGAAAGTAAATTCAAACATCCTGCCTTTTGTTTATATTGCTTATGGCTTTTCTTACAGTGTGCTTATAAAGTCAACACTTGTATTAGTCAATGTTTGCTATAGTAAGAAACAACCCCAAGACGTCAGTGGCTTACAATAATAAAGATTTATTTCATGCTTACAGGCCTTTGCGTTGGCTACAGCTTTGCTGGGCTGTATGTGTTTTTGCAGTCCTGGACTGCCTGAGGAAAGCGCTTCTTTTGGTAGAGATCAGAAGCTCAAGAGACCAAGCCAATTCATGCAGGCACATCTAAAACTTCTGCAAGGATGTGGTAAATTACATCTACTGACATTCCATTGGCTAAAGAAAGTCACATGGCCAAGCCTTTTGTTGATGAAGTGACATATATTCTTTCCATGGGGTGGGTGAGGATGTAGGAGAGCAAATATTAGCTGAAAAATAACACAATCTACTATGACTACAGATTAAAAAGCTAAATCATGTGCCTGAGTTGCAAAAAGAGTTAAATACTAAAATGGCATTGTAAATTTAAGGAAATTTTAAATATTTCTTTGGACAACTCCTTGCAAAGAACATGATTGCTTGGGAGCCAGAGTGGAAATTTAGAGAAAGAAATCTAATACATTAATTAAACATAAGATAGCATAAAACAAAAGAGTATTTATGCCTCTTCCGGGCTTCTTTCATACCTTGTGCTTACCTCTATCATTTTACTTGTCATTATGCTTTCTGATTTTTCATTTCTGAGATAAAAATAAAGCTTTTTTTTTTCTTCATATACCCAAGGCCGAGTAAAATCCTTAGCACAGAGTGGGCACTCAATGAATGTTTGTTGAATGACTACATGAATGCATGCATACATAACCCAGAATATATTGTTCTTACTATTCCTTTTTCAGTGCTGAAATTATTTATATTATATAACATGGAAGAACTAACATACTGTATTGGTTTTTTCCTCCCCATTTTCTTTTTCTACCTGAGACTTTTCACTTTTCCTTCCCTCAGTGAGATTATTTGATTTTAAAGAAACAATGTTGAACATTCTCTGTTACATACTGAAGTATTTTCCTGCTAAGCTGTGTGTGTGTGTGTTTGTGTGTGTATGTGTGTGTATAAGACAGAGATCTGTGCAAACAATTTTTATATGTTTAGGAAATATCACTGGAGTACTCACTATTCATTTACTATACTACTGATGAAAATCAGTTCTTGAATTTGTTCTTTCTACATTTATTTCTTTTGTGATTTCCTTACTGGGAATACCTTCAGAGATTGACATCCTGTAGTTATGAGACTGTCAGGAGGACTGTTACTATACTAACACTGTTAAAAACATTTCAATTAGGTTGTATAATGCAGTGCCTTCACAGTAAATAGTAGATAACAATAGAAACGAATGAAAAAGCTGATAATTTTTAAAAAATGGAAATAGTAGAATGCAAACTGTTTTCTATTACCATTCAACACATATAATAAACATTTCAATTTCTATAAAATTATTGCTAAACTCACTTGGCTTAGCTGCGTATTTTTTATAATTTAAATTTCACACTGAAGTCATGAAGTACTTTAAGATGAAGTTCATACAAAATCGCATCTTTCCAGTCATCCAGAAATAGTATAGTGATATCATCTCTACAATTCCCCTTGCTCCTCCAAACCAAGATTTTACAATTCTGTAGTTATAGATAGACTAAGCATGTGTCAAAAGTAGAAAATATTGGCCGGGCGCGGTGGTTCACGCCTGTAATCCCAGCACTTTGGGAGGCTGAGGCGGGTGGATCACAAGGTCAGGAGATGGAGACCATCCTGGCTAAGATGGTAAAACCTCGTCTCTACTAAAAATATGAAAAAAAAAATTAGCCAGGTGTGGTGGTGGGTGCCTGTAGTCCCAGCTACTTGGGAGGCTGAGGCAGGAGAATGGCATGAACCTGGAAGGCAGAGCTTGCAGTGAGCAGAGATCCCGCCACTGTACTCCAGGCTGGGCGACAGAGCAAGACTCTGTCTCCAAAAAAAAAAGTAGAAAAAATTATTTTAATGTGGTTATACAAAAGGAAAAGAGATCTTGAAACTTAATTGTTCATGACAAAACTTCTGAGGACTCAAATGGATGTGATTTCTTAGTGAAGTGTTTAAGTGATGTTGGTTTTTTTTTCCTTATAGGTCAAAATGGAATAACAGTACAGAGACTAGATGAATTATCCAAAAATTGACAAAAAAGCTGTCTTGTTTCATGAAATATCAGATTTGTAATGAATATCCAGAAAATTTAAATTTAGAATCTTAGACATATTATGGAAGAAATAGTAAAATGATTTAAAATAGTTAACATCTGAATTCTCAAAATTTTTGTTTAGTGCAGAAAAGCACTTGGAATATAGTAAGATCAGTTCTTTTTATCTGATTATTGCATTTAGTGGAAGGATTCCATCAGATACAATCTAGGCTAAGACTCGTGACACAAATAATATAGAGCTCCCAACAGCAAAGGAGTGAGAACATGCAAATTCTTGTAGGGATTCATTTTTAATTTATATTTGAAAAATGTTTCTAACAGATGGGAAAAAGTAAGGGACTATTCATAAAACTTTTGGCTTTTTTCCACGAAAATGCTCCATTTATTGAACAGGAAATAAGGTATAGAATATGCTTTTAACCAAACTAGGAATTCATTTCCCCAATTCATAAAGTTATTCATTCCCTCTACAACTAATCTACATATATCTTCATCTGATACCTCTCAATAGATTTGTCTTTAAATAGAGTCCAAGAATAAGTGTTTATGGCACCCTCTTTCAAGAAAGAGGAAAGAGCAATCTCTCTTTTCAATGTCGATAAATGCTAGGTGATGACCAGGTTAAGGATATTACTTGTTGTGACCAAGAAACTTGACAGAGTGGTATGTTCCTGGTTTATCTGATATTATGCCAACTTCAGGTGAAAGCCTAGAGTTTCCTAGGGTGAGTCCAAATTTCATAGAATGAGTTTTGGACTGATGGAGATGATCAAGAAGTTGTTGAGCTTTTCAGATGTTGAATAAAGTAGGAATGGAAAACAGGGCTAAGTATCAAGAATGCAGATTAGACTTAATCAGTAAACTAAGAGGCAAAGTAAGAGGCAAGTGATAAGAGTTAACAACAGGTGTCTATACAACCAATGCTGAGAGCCTTTCCAGCAATAATTCAGAATGGAAGCTGAGTTTGGATTCAAGGAACATAGTCCAATGTTGGGACTTAGAAACATGACATTTGTTAAAGACAGTTTTGATTAATTCTATCTCAAAGAAAAAAAATTCCTCCTTGTCTTCCAGGTTGTTTTCATTAAGAAATTACCACATGACTTAGCTTTTGCCCTGTGGGCATCATAAAGATCCCATTAGATTTTAGAATGGGGTAGTAAAGAAAAGGGCATAAAGGGTGTATAATCACACTCTTATTTTATAAGTCTATGACTCCAAGTGTTTTGTAATAGTCAATGAAAATAGGTAGCAAAAATCCAGTTAACTTCTTTCTTATATAACCAAAGAGAGCTTGGTGAAAGGAATATAATAAGGTGCCATTTAAATTCATGAATTAAAAAGTAAGTAACTTGTTTTAAAATTATTTCATGGGTACAAGTCTTCTCCTTGAGAAGGTAAAAGCCTTGAGGGTGTTGTTCATAGGATAATTCTTTTGTATCTAGCATGTTAGACAATAAAAAATTCTCTTTTTTTTTTTTTTTTTTGAGAAAAAGTCTTGCTGAGTCGCCCAGGCTGGAGTGCAGTGGCACGATCTCGGCTCACTGCAAGCTCCACCTCCCAGGTTCACACCATTCTCCTGCCTCAGCCTCCCGAGTAGCTGGGACTACAGGCGCCCACCACCACACCTGGCTAATTTTTTTTTTCATATTTTTAGTAGAGACGAGGTTTTACCATCTTAGCCAGGATGGTCTCCATCTCCTGACCTCGTGATCCACCCACCTCGGCCTCCCAAAGTGCTGGGATTACAGGTGTGAGCCACTGCGCCCGGCCAAAAAATTCTTGAGGCTTGAATTACATTCTGAAAAACTAGCATTTAGTTTACTAAAAAATATTTCCCCAATGAGTAAACTTTATAGCAAACCAAATTATAATTAACTGAATAAAGCATATTAAAAGAAGTAGATGTTTTATAAAGTGACTTAGAATCAGTACAAAAAAAGAGAATATCTCTCAATTTATTTTTTTATTGTTCCTAAAACATTTGAGAAATATCAGAAAAGCCTTTAAATATACATTTTAAAAATAGAGGAAGATAGGATGATTTCTTTTTATTCTTCATGGGAGCATTTTAAAGCCCCACTTATGAGAATACAGTTGAAGATAGCTTTGACCTCTATTTTTTTTTCCTGGAAAAACTCATGAGAGATGGCATGATAAGCATCTCAGTATACATTATAATTTTTATTACTTCCCTAAGTGTTCCTGAAATTCTACACAATTTATTACGTAATCTATGTTAGTAATCAAGTGAATAAATAATGAAAGAACATAAGAACAGGATTATGGGCTGGGTGCGGTGGCTTGTGCCTGTAATCCCAGCACTTTGGGAGGCTGAACTGGGCAGATCACTTGAGCCCAGGAGTTTGAGACTAGTCAGGCCTATGTGGTGAAACTTCATCTCTGGTAAAAATACAAAAAATTAGCTGGGCATGGAGGTACATACCTGTAATGGAGGCTGAGGCACAAGAATCGCTTGAACCCGGGAGGTGGAGGTTGCAGTGAGCTGAGATCATGCCACTACACTCCAGCCTGGGCAACAAAAAAAGACTCTGTCTCAAAAAAAGAACAGGATTATGGTGGCAATGCCATCTGCATGGTCACTTTGGAACACTGGCAAGGGTACCAAAGTGTCAAATTTGCATGGGGACCTCCTTGAAACATGCGTTGTTCTCTCCCTGCCCCCTTTAGGAGAAGCTTTCTGGGGCACTAGGATGATGATACAAAGAGGAAAACCAAACTGGGGGGAAAAAAAAGCTGCCATCAATTTGGGGGAAAGTGGAAGATGTTCCCTGAGAAGGTGAGAATTACCCAAGTGGCAAAAGAAAGAAGAAAGGCACACTAGACTCGGGCAACTCAATTATGGTTTGCAACAATAACTACTCATCACTGTTTGTGGGTGATATCCCTCATGTGTTGCTCAGCCCGTTTCCTGAGAAATTTGTTGCAGATCCTGCTTCGTAAAGGGCTGTAAAAAGGAATAAAATAATCTTTTTTTTTTAAATTATTTAAAATGTTTTGTTATTTTTCATAGAGAAGGGGTTTCACCGTGTTGCCCAGGCTGGTCTCAAATTCCTGACCTTAAGCCATCCACCTGCCTCGGCCCCCCAAAGTGCTGGGATTGCAGGTATGAGTCATCACGCCTGGCCCCAAATCATCTTTTCAATTGGTAAAGGGTTGTAGGCAATGTGAAGAGAAAACAAAATCCCTTCTCCTAAAGTTTAGGACTTGCAATGAGCGCTGGATGGATGAGCAGAGCCAAGGAACACTGGAAAATGGAAATGAGTATGGGTCACTTGGGTTCCATAGAGAACAGAGAGCAGAATTTTGTAAAACATCAGGAAAAATTCAGTTCCTGCAACATTTCCATTTGTCGCCAAGGCTAGCATGGTCTGGGAAAAAAAGCATAATTTTTCAAAGTAAAGTTATTATTTTATTTGGGATTTAGTTTATGAAGGACAATATTGTGTTCCTCTAGCCCACACAAATAAATTATGCCTGGCCATAAATAGTAATATATTAAATGAGCAAACCAGTTTTGCATAAAAGGCATGGTCTGACTTCCCTGTGGACGTGACAATAGAAATAGCATTCCTTCCTTTTTTAAATTCATTCATCACTACTTAAAGAATGACTATAACGTTGTCATTCTCAGTGGGGCAAGAGGTTGTTATAAATAGAAGCAAGTAATGGTGCAAAAGCAGTAGCTTATTGTTTATTTTGATAAAATAAATCATATCAGATTCTAGGGTGTTGCTTTTTTACCTCTTCCAGTAGGAAAGGGTAGAATGAATCTGAGCACCCTGGAAATTGGTATGGCTGTGTGCTACTCAAGTATAGCAGTACACAAAAAAGGAGAGTTGAGAGCCACAACTGTATAGCAATATAGCGAAGAATAAAAGTTTTCTTGTCCTTGGGCTTTTATAGTCACTCTAAATCAAGAACTGTTCCAGTTCCAGAGAGTGATAATTACTCAAAAGAGAGAAAACTACAGGTAATAGAATTCCAGAGAGAAAGATTAACTCAAGCCAGGAATGATTAGAAAATTCTTCACAAAAGTGGAAAAAGCTGGGCATAATTACATGATGTATGACTTTAAAGGGTAAGGTGGCTCTTTAATTATTAAATAATACTTTCTTAAAACACTTACTGGGTACCCAAGTGGTGGGGATATAAAGATAAACAGGATAAAATCCATGCCCTTGAATATTTTAGGTAGGGGACACATACACCAAAAAAAAAAAAAAAAAAAAAGGAAGAAAAATAATGTCATGGAACAAATACAATGTCATACCACAATATAGTGCTAGAACAGAGGTGATATAGGGCCTCAGAACAATACATAGGAAAAAGCCTTCAGTGCTACCTGGGAAGGGATAGGTAAAATAAGATAAAGTTATTTCTGAGGCTGAGCACAGTGGCTCACATCTGTAATCCCAGCAGTTTGGGAGGCTGAGGTGGGTGGATCACTAGAGGTCAGGAGTTCGAGACAACCATGGCCAACATGGTGAAACCCTGTTTCTACTAAAAATACAAAAAATTAGCCGAGTGTGGTGGTGCTTGCCTGTGGTCCCAGCTACTGTGGAGGCTGAGATGGGAGAATCACCTGAGCCTAGGAGGCGGAGGTTGAACTGAGCCCAGATTGCACCACTGCACTGCAGCCTGGGTGACAGAGCAAGACTCTTTCAAAGAAAAGAAAAAAAAGATATTTCTGAACTGAGATTTCATTCAGTTATTACTCATTAATTTAACTAACATGCATTAAGTGCCTACTATGTTCACAGTGCTTGCTCTCAAGGGATTGATAGTCAAATGGTGGACAAGACATGTAAACAGATAAGTACGATGATGGATTTAATTAAATACCCAAGGTGCACAGCATTATTAAAGATACGGAGGTCAAATGTGTGTGGGAGGTTGTGGAAATGCTTCATAGAGGAGGTGAGTTTTTAAAGATGTGGAGGTATTTGTTAGGCAGATTGTAATGGAGAATATCAAGGATGAAGGAAGTACCAGACAATAAGAGTGGGAGTAAAGGTGCAGTGGCCTGCTCCAACTTGGTGTATACACAGGACTGACAGAAACTTGATATGACTAGAGCTTTGGATAACAAAGATGAGACAAGAAACCAGGTTGGTAGGGACCAGATCATAGAGAGCCTTGAATCCAGACTTAAGGACTTTGATTTTTCTCTGTAGACCAGTAATTTTCAAACTGGAACCCACTACTTCCTTGAGTTTCAAGGAAGTACATTAGGAAGGTGATATGGTTTGGCTGTGTCCCCACAGGAGAGCTCAAATTGTAGCTGCCATAATTCCTATGTGTCATGGGGAGGACCTGGTGGGAGGTAATTGAATCATGAAAATGGCTCTTTCTCATGCTGTTCTTGTGATAGTGAATAAGTCTCATGAAATCCGATGGTTTTATAAAGGGGAGTTCTCCTGCAAATTCTCTCTCTTAACTGCCGCCATGCAAAACATGACTTCGCTCCTCCTTTGCCTTTCACCATGATTGTGAGGCCTCTCCAGTCACATGGAACTGTGAGTCCATTAAACCTCTTTCCTTTATAAATTACCCCATCTCAGGTATGTCTTCATTAGCAGTGTGAGAGTAGACTAATACAGAAGGTAAAGAGCATACCAAAAAGGCAGACTTTTTGGGGGCTGTGAACACTAAGCTAAAGAGTTTTAAACACTAATCTTTAGGTTATGTTAAATTATTGAACACTTTTAAGGAAGGAGGTGATAGGCTACGAACTGTTTTTGAATGATCAATCCATCCACAAGATTTCTGTATCATTCCAGAAATCTGTAAGTCATCCCAAATTGCTTCATTGTTCTTCTAATTAATAACTAAGCAATTGCTAAATCCTATTTATTCTTTCTCCTAAACAATCCTTAAATCCATCCTTTCCCTTCCTTCTTTACTGGGACTACCAGTGGTTCAGGTCCTCATCATTTTTCCCCTTGTCAAATAAAAGAGCGTTTAACTTACTGCTCAGTACTCTTTAGTCAATCCTATATGTAACTTTGTCATATCACTTCTTGCACCATTTTGAAATTTATTAGATTTTTTTTTTTTTGGAAACAGGGTCTCACTCTGTCACTCAGGCTGGAGTTCTGTGGCACAATCATAGCTCACTGCAGCCTGGAACTCCTGGGCTCAAGGGATCTCTCCACCTCAGCCTCCCAAGTTGCTGGGACTATAGTCCTAGCCTCACTTTGTTGCCCAGCCTGGTCTCAAACTCCAGGCCTCAAGTGGTCCTCCTGCCTCAACCTCCCAAGTCTCTAGGATTACGTGCGTGAGCTACCGTGCCCAGCTGAAATTTATTTCTGAAGTGTGTATGTTTTCCATTAGAGTACAAGTTCCTGGAAAACTGATGTGAAAGGTCCTGAAAGACTGTCATTTGGATTCACTGCTAAATGTTCTTCAGTTATTCATTCTCTCTCACACATCAGTTCGTCCTTTTCTATGGATCATACAAGTAGCATACAAACATGCTATACTTTTCCCCATCTTAAAAAATCTACCCTTGTTTCCATATCCTCCATTTGCTGCTATTCCCCTCATAGCAAAACTTAAAAGAATTGTATAGAACCACTTTCTCTATTTCTTCACTTCAATTTTTTCATAAACTCACTTCACTCTGACTTTCATCTCCATCACTCCACTACAAAGTCACTTGTCACAGTCATCATATCCGGTAGTTAACTCTTCACCCACATCTTCCTTGACCTTTGAGTAGCACTGGATACAGTTGATAATAATGTCTTACAATAGCTGAAAATATTCTCTTAAGTTTCCTCTTGGCTTAGTGGATATTTCTTTTCAGGATCCTCTTCCTTTTTTTTTTTTTTTTTTTTTTTTTTTTTTGAGCCAGAGTCTCGCTCTGTCGCCCAGGCTGGAGTGCAGTGGCGCCATCCTGGCTCACTGCAAGCTCCAGCTCCCAGGTTAACGCCATTCTCCTGCCTCAGCCTCCCAAGTAGCTGGGACTACTGGCGCCCGCCACCACGCCCGGCTGATTTTTTGTATTTTTAGTAGAGACGGGGTTTCACCGTGTTAGCCAGCCAGGATGTTCTCGATCTCCTGACTTCATGATCCGCTCGCCTCGGCCTCCTAAAGTGCTGGGATTACAGAAGTGAGCCACCGAGACCGGCCAATCCTCTTCCTTTTATAGGTCTCTAAGTCTGGGATGGTTCAGCCCTGGAGTCTCTTCCTTTTGCTGTCTACATTCACTTCCTAAGGGATCTCCAGTGCTGTGGGATATACGCTAATGATTTTGAAACTTACATTTTGAATTTGGGCCTCTTCCCTGAATGCTGATGATTTTGAAAGTTACATTTTTGAGTCTGGGCCTCTTCACTCTGGTCACAAACTACCTATTTGGTGTGTCCTTTGGGATTGCTATTAAGCATCTCAAACTTCGCATGGTCAGATCAGAATTTTGTCCCGCAACCTCCCTTCTTTTCCCCCAGCTTATTTCTCATAAAGTCTTTGGCACTTCAGTCTATGGCACTCTTATTCATCTCATTGTATGGGCCAAAAATCCAAGTCTTTGATTTCTCTTTTTTGATTCTTTGCACACTTTTCATCTAACCATCACCAAAATTTCTTGATGTTAACTTCAAAATCTTCATGCCAAATCTGAATGCCTCTCACCATTTTCACTGCTACCATCCTAGTATAAGCTACTATCAGCATTCATCTGGTCTACTTCAATAGTCTCTAAATTAGTTTTTTTGTTTACACTTTTGACCCCTTAGACTCTCTTCCACACAACCATCTAGAGCCATCTTTAAGTTTATAATTCATATCGTGTCACTCTCTTGTTCAAAAATTATCAGAATATACTTGACTACACTTTTTTAAAAATCTAAAGGTTTTAATACAGCTTACCCAGTATAATCTAGCTATAGGCATTCTAACCACAAACCCTTTCATCCTCCTCCTTGTCCACACCACTCTGGACACATCAACCTTCTTGTTATTCCACCAATATGCCTTTAGCACTGTCTCAGGACTGCTGTACTTGCTATTCCTTCTGCCTGGAATGCTCTTATCCCAACTATTTCAATGGCTCCTTCCTGCACATAATTCTTAGATGCTACATTCTCAGAAAGACTTTTTGATGACCTATATAAAATGCCTGCCCTCCCCCATCCCCACTTTCATCTCTGTATTCATTTATTCTGCTTTTCCTTCACAGCACTTAACACTAACCTTACATTATATATTTATTTGACTCCTTATTTTCTGGTTCTTACAGTAGAATGCAACAAAACACTTTTTTCTCGACCTAACTCTAGTCAGACTCCTCTGACCCACTAGGTCCTGTCCTTGGGCATGTCTTCAAGAGCCCAGTTTTAGCAAGAATTCTGCTAAGCCAATTTAGCCAAAATTCCCCACCCTCACTACCTGATCACTCTTGATGTCTAACCAAATTTCTCACCCCCACACCATTCCCTGGGTAATAGCTGATCACCCTGGCCTGCCTTCAGCAAGAATCCTGTTAGGTCCGTTTAGCAAATAATTACCCCACCCTCCTAGTAATTTTCCATTCATCAACACATCTTGTCCCTCCTCCTTGGCTATAAATCTCTACTTTTCTTTGTTGTATTTGGAGTTGAGCCCAATCTCTGTCTCCTACTGTAAAACCTCATTGCAGGAGGTCCTATACCTTTCACAATAGTCCCAAATAAAGTCTGCCTTACTGTCTTTAATAAGTGTCATGAATTATTATTTTCTTTAACAAAAACTACCATTATAAGTAGTAAATAAGATAGGTTATACTATCTGTTTTGTTCATTGCTACATTCCCAGTGCCTAGAAGAGTAGTGTGCCACTCAGTAGGTATTCAATATATCTTTGTTCAATGAATGAATGTACTTAGAACAAAGCAATGATATACTCCGAGAATCTAGAAATCTTTTGTCTGTGGAATAGCTAGTTGTGTAACAATTTAAAAACATTTCAATATTTTAAAAGTAGAAGGTGAAAAGTTTATTACTTAATGCTTTTAAAACTATTAACAGAATTTTACAGAATTGAAACCCCAGAGTCTTGAAAGGGCACCTAGTCTAAGCCTATATACAAATTAAAAAAAGAAATTGAATTATCTGATTTTTTTAAGGTCCTTATTCTTGAAAGGAGAATTAGTTTATTATTTATAGAGCATTTAGAACTTGAAATTACCTATTTATCTTAAGTTTGCATTAATCATGTCAAAGCTTAATAGTTAATGTTAACGGGATTGTGCCAACAGCCAAAGCATTAACACCCACTTGAGGTCATTAAAAGAGTATTATAAAAGGCTTCAAATAATGGTATATTACACAGTTTTGTCAAGGGGTGTTTTAATTCCAACGGACAGCCATAACAGAGATGATAATCAACTCAAGGTGACACTGGTATCTCCTTACTCCAACTTCACCAGTTCAAAAGTATTCAGTACAGATAGTCACTGAATCCATGCCAAGAGGGAAATAATTGATTTAACTGATCTAAAAGTGTGTTTGAGCTTTTTTTCAGACAAACTGTCAACACACACATGAAAGCAAGATTCTAAAAGTGCTGTCAGATCCATAATGTTTATACAGCAAAGCAAACAACCTTTGTTATTCCAATTAATGCATTTGCTCATGAAGGAAGTCTGATCCAAAACGTTTTATTTTTTCTCAGCTGCACTGAAAATTATAATGTTGACTCATATTGAAGCAATTTAGAAATGTACTCAGCCACAAAATGAAAATGGATTAAGTATAATATTTGTTACTAGGGTACCTGCTAAAAATAACATCTCAAAATTATTTATTACATTTCCTTTAAAGGGTTTCAAGTATTGTCACGTGTATCTACTTATCTCTTTGAAGGGGGCTAGGCCCATAATAGTATTCTCTTAAACTTACAAACCAATGATGATAAATATTAGGAGATAAACTGTGTATAGGGAAAATAATGTGGCAAGATCAGTTTGTTGAGATACCTTGGATGGTGACCTACAATACTTTACAGTAATTACTCTATCTTTTTCCCTCTATTGTTTAACTCTAAAACAGGGAGTGGAGTTTGGGAGTTGAATGTCCCAACACCTGACAGGTACTTTAGTACTTTATAGTCTAGTTCAACACTATTAGTTTTACCAATAAGAAGTGAAATGATCTGTTTAAGGACACATTGCTAAGAGGCTAAGATGGAACATGAACTCAGGATATATATGTACATGTACATATACAAATATATACACATAGATAATATATAGAGAGAGTATATGTACGTATATATACACATATATACGTACATATATACATACATACATACATATATGTATATACATGTATACACACATATTTAATTATACATATAATTTTGAGACAAGGTCTTGCTCAGTTGCCCAGGCTGAAATGCAGTGCTGTGATCTTGGCTTACTGCAATCTCTGCCTCCCAGGCTCAGGTGATCCTCCCACCTCAGCCTCCCTAGTAGCTGGGACTACAGGCGCACTCCACCAGTCCAGTTATTTTTTTGTACAGACACATTTTCACCATGTTGCTCAGGCGGGTTTCGAACTCCTGGACTCAAGAGATCCACCTGCCTCGGCCTCCCAAAGTGTTGGGATTTCAGGTGTGAGCCATTGCACCAGGCCATGATTTTTTATTCCAAATACTGAGCTTTCTCTACTACCTCTTGTGATCATGAATAATTATTGAGATAAATCCAACAAGATCGGGATATTCAACAGTTAAAATAATTCAATGTTTCAACTAATAGATGACATTTTTAAAAAAGAGTGGGAAGGGAAAACACTACATATTAAAAGAGATGTATTGACAAAATGGTAAGTGTGACTTTTTTGATCCTGATGAGCATAAACCAACTGTAAAACTACATTCCTGAGACAATCAAGGGATATTCACCACAGAGTGGGTATTTCATAACAGTAAGGAATTAGTGCTAATTTTGTTAGATATGTTAGTAGTAGTATGGTTGTGTTAAAAAGAAGTGCTTATCTGTTAGACCTATATACTGAAGTATTTGCCAGTGAAATAATCTGCTTATTTACTTTAACATACTCCTGAAAATAAATTTTAAAAGTGCAGAGATAGATGGGTAAATGATGACAATTGTTGATCATCACAGATGCTAAGGTTATTTATGTTACTCTACTTTTGTGTATGTTTGAAGTTTTTCACACAAAATTTTAAAAATGTAATTATTGAGCTTGTACTTCCTATAAAATACCATAAACATCCTTTATTATTCATTGAGTGTCCAAATTTTTTATTTTAAATTGGAGACAGCCATAGAAGCCCTATATCATGAATCTATAGACTTCAAAGGTGCTAACTCATGCCTCTCTAACCTCACTAATGACTGCTGTGCTGAGATGTAAAATTATGCTTTGCCTTTAATATGTGTATACATAAAATAAAACTGCACTCTTCCCTGTATTGTTGTTACTTGATTCTCTAGCTTAGTAACTAACCCTTTCTAAAATTCAATTTAGCAAATATTTTTGGAATGATATACCAGGTTCCACTAGGCCCCAGAAACAGCAAGTGGGGTATGAACATATCATTTGCATATATAATATGTAAATATAAATACATATATGTATCTATCTATATGTATGTATAATGTATATGATAATAGAATTGATAAATTCTATATTAGCTATATTAAACATGTACAATGGAAAACCTAAAAAGAAACATGTGATGAAAAACTTAATGAATCATGCTTAATGTCAGAATTATCTTTCTATTCTATTTAAAAATTTACAAAATATAAAGAGGTAATCAAAGAGTATACAGCCAGAAAATGTAGAAAACAGGTATTATAGAGGTATGTTAGATAATTAATTTATAAAAATATTGTTATTTGTCTGGATTTGGGGATGTTTGTGGCATTTGTCAGCTTTTATAAATTTGTAGAGAGTTGTTTTTCACTTCAAATTCTCACTTTCATACCCAATTTTGCATTTTTTTTTTCCCTTAAAGAGATTCCCCCACACTGAATAAACTTCAGGTGCCACATTCTGAATCTGCTTGGATATCTATATTTTGTCAGGCATTGTCCCGGGAGCTAAGGATACATCAGTGAACAAAATAGAGAAAAAAGGCCTCTCTTCTTTTGTGAAGTTTAGATTCTAATTGGGAGAAACAGACAAAAATATAATAAGCACATAAATTAAATAGTATGTTACATGGCTAGTGCTATGTAAAAAAGTTGAGGAGGGTCAGGGGATGAGAGTGCAGGGCAGAGAGCATGAGTGAGATAAAACTGCAATTTAGGCCTGGTGCGGTGGCTCACGCCCATAATCTCAGTACTTTGAGAGGCTGAGGCAGGACAATCACTTGAGTCCAGGAGTTTGAGACCAGCCTGGGTAACATGGCGAGACCCTGCTTCTAAAAAAAAAAAAAAAAAAAAAAAAAAATTTAAAAAAAATTACAAAAAAAAAAAAAAAAAAGAAACTGCAACTTAAATAGGGTGGCCAGGGTAGGGTTCACCAAGAAGGTGACTGTGAGCAAAGACTTGAAATAATTGGTTACTGATAATACCAATGGTGTCTAGTACAGTATATTAGTTTAGTGGTCTTGCATTAATGTCCTACTCAGGACTTATTTTAGAATATTTGAAGGTAAAACAACCCCAAAGTTTCAGAAGCAGGAGGGTAAAGCAGCAATAGTTGGACCAGCGCTAAGAACTGAACACCTCCCTGGGGCACTGGTCTTAGAGATTGGTACTAAACAATAGCGGCGTGAAACCTTCATTGGAAGATAATAAAATGGGAACATTGCATTTACCAGGTCATCTTTAGGGGTGAGACCTCCAAGAGGCATGACCCTTAAGGAGATCTACTCTGATTAACTGTCGAGTTTTCTACTGCTGAATAGGAAGAGGCAAATATGGAACCTTATCTTGAAGTGTCCAGGACAACAGAGGGCTGAGTACTGCCACCAAGAGTTGTCCTTCTTACCCACTTACCATTCAACCTTTCCTCTAAATAAAAGTCAGAAAAACAACAAAAAGTAGTTTAAATACTTACAAATTTATAGGATATATTATTGGACTGCCCAAGAAATAATAAAAATATGAAAATGGAACCACAACTGTGACAATTTTTAACTTTCTTAGAGCACCATACTTTCTTTTGGCATAGGCAGCTGCGGTATAGTAGGCAGACTGAAGGACAAGTCAGAACTGGATATGAGTTCTGACTCTGCCACTTTTTAGCCCTGGGCAAATCAGAAAGGGAAAAACTAAGTTTTATCATCTATAAAATGGGAATAATAATCTTTCTTTTATGACAATTAAATAATTGTGTTTAAATGAACTTCTTAATCAACAAAGTATCATAGATGTTTCACATAGTAACAAAACTATAAGGTAGTCCACAGTAGCTATGTAAGAATCATAGTTATGAAGTATATAATAATTTAACTTACAGTATTTATCAACAAATAGTTAAGACAGTACGAAATGCTTTGAAATCTCAATTTACAGTTAGTCTTTATGTAGCTTCAAGAAAGCAATCATCTAACTTCAAGTGAAGACTTTTCAACATCTTTTAACGGGATATTAGAGCAGAAGACATATACATCTCATACCTCAAAAGCAGAATAGGTCTTTTCTTACTCACTTGACTACTGAAGGAATGACCCTTAACCAGATGAAAGTTCAGCACAAAAATAACTGGCTATTTTCTCAAAATTGCCAGCGAGGTAGAGTGATTCCTAGATGATACTTGTCAGCAAGAAAGATGATCTGAAGAATGAACAAAAATAGCCTCTGTTTAACAGCTGTGATATCTATAATTTATAAGCTGTGATCATCTCTCATCAGATTGTCTTGATGTTTGGATGAGAATGAATGTTTGAAATTTCTATATTTAGTACTTATCAGAAAACAAAGTTTTGTTGTGTCCTATTCTTTTTGATCAATACATTTCAATTTACATATAAACAGTGTTCAAGAGACTTCATGTTTGAGGAATGTGACCTTGAAACTCTACTGGCATGCAGTGCTATAAATGTTTGACTAATCCTTAATTACTTATCCCCAAACAGAATTTTTTTTTACTGTTTTAAAATTTTTTATTTCATTGGCAAATAAAAATTGTATATATTTAGTATGTATATGTTTTGAAATATATTGATTGTGGAATGGCTATAAGTCAAGCTAATTAACAAACATATTGTATACGAATCTTTTTGTGTGTGTGGTGAGAAGCAAATAAACTTTAATCACTGAAAGACAGAACAACATTAAAGAATGAGACAACATTAAAGGAAGGAAGGAAGGAGGGAAGGAAGGGCGGGAGAGAAGGAAGAGAGGCAGAGATAATCGCTTTATTACCTAATTCTTTGCCAGTCTTTTTTCTTTTTTTTTGTGGGGGAGGGTGGGGAGGTCAGTCTTTGAACACGCTGCCTAGGCATCATGCTTCTAATTTCCTCTTACCACTCTTTTCACTTCTATATCACATTTATTCTTCCTTTAATATGTGACCTTATACTGGCCTCGCCCTTCACAATTCCTCTGTCGCTTACGTATTTTACTTTCTGTGGGCAGAACATTGTTTCCCTTTCCACGTCTTTCCCATTTCCTTCTTGTACAGCTGTATCACATTTCGGTACTATATGTTTATATAAGCGCGTGGTAAAACTACATATTTATATAAGCATGTGCTAAAAAACACTCGAGCAAATACCGTGACTGAGATTTTTTGGAAAACTGTGGGCAAATTAGTTAAAATTGAGAGCTCTGGCGGAGAGGGTCTCTTCCATCTATAGGACAAAATAATTGGGAATTACAGAATAAGTAGAGGAGGACAATTCAAGAGAGCACAGAGCTGCGTGCATTCTCCCTGTGCCGCGACCTGTATCCAAAAGCCTCAGACGAGACTTGAGGAGCTTCCTAGAGGCTCTCCTGCCACTGCCCCTTTGGCCAGGGCCCTTCCCGCAGTCTCCCCTCCCGATTCTTCCCTTTTACAGCCCCTCGCTCCCGACATGCGAGGCCCGTCTCTTCTTCCAGTTTGACTTCCAAGTCTTTCCATTCCCTAGGATCGGGCCCCAGTCTCACCCCCTATTTTCACCCCCTTCGGTTTTCCTCAGAAAGGGCCTCCTGCCTCCCTCGGCACCCTCGCCTACCCCCCTCGCAGCACCTGTCGCCTCCGCCCCTCACTCGGACCCCGCGCATCTGGCGCAGCCCCTCCCGCACTCCCGCCCAGCGCCCCGCGTCCCCGGCCCCCGCTGTCGCTGCTTCGGGTTCCGCCGCAGGAGCCTCTCACTCCCGGGAGCGGGCGCCTCGCGCTCCCTCCCTCGGCCCCGCCCCGCCCGCCGCTCGCCCGTTGCTTCCCACCTGGGCCCGAAGCGCCCAGCGCCCTCTCCCGGGACCCCGCGCCCGCCCCGCGCCCCTCGCGGCTCGGGGTCCGCCCCCTCGCCCGCAGGGCCCGCTGCACTGTGGGTAGGCGGCGGCGGCGGCGGCTACGCGGAGCGGCAGGCGGTGGAGCGAGGCCGCGCGCGCCGAAGATGGCTGAGAAGCAGAAGCACGACGGGCGGGTGAAGATCGGACACTACGTGCTGGGCGACACGCTGGGCGTCGGCACCTTCGGCAAAGTGAAGAGTTGAGTACGCGCTCCGGACCGCTGTGCGGGGCTGCCTGACTTGCGGGAGGCCGAGGGGAGAGGCGGGAGCCCCGGGCCTCCGGCGGGCGCGGGGCTCGGCGGCAGGTGGAGCGGTCCCGGGTCGCGCGGAGCTGGGGCCCCGGGAGGGTGGCGCGCACCGCCTCGCCTGGCACCGGCGCCCGGGCCCCACAGGGTCCAGGGAAGAGGGCGGGGGTGTGAGCTGAGGATGGGCGTCCTGGGTTCCAGGTTCCGCGCCCATCTGCCTTTCTGGAGGTCGGAGCAAGGCACTTCTGTGTTCTCTGGACCTCAGTGTCCTCCTCTGCAAAATCGGGAGAACTGGACTCGTTCTGCGAGGCGCCTTCCAGCTCTGAGCCTGTAGGCTTAGGGCGGGGATCATCCACGCTACTGAGGACTGAGGCGCCGTTTCGTGCCGGGTGCCCTGTTAGGTGCTTTACATGGAATCTCATTGAATCCTCACAGTGACTTGGTCAACATGTTGTCCTCACCCTAAAGGTGAGAAAACTAGGACCCCTAGAGATGTAGTAACAAGCCCAAGGTCACACAGAAATGGTCAGTACCAGAGTGAAGTCTAAGATGTCCTCCAATTCTGGTCTTGCTGGGAGGTCCCTGCCATCCCCAGATTCCTTCACGTTCCAGGACTCTCGGTTGTTGGGGGTGACTGTTTGGGGGATGCTCCAGGGGCCAGAGGTTGTGAGTCTTTCTTCCTGGGGTGTTGTTTAACGCTGGAATGCAGCTGGATTGGGTCAGAGGTTAATTAAAACAGAGAGGTCTGAAGGTGTTTGTGTTTGTAAAATGGCTATGGGAAGACTTCTAGGGTAAGGGAGAGAAAAAGTTTCCTTGGTGTTTGGAGGATTTGAGGCTGAGGAGGTCAGGACTGCTAAGGCATATTCTGCTAAGGTCTGTCTTCATGGAGATAGGATCCCCTTTTGAATGTAGAAAAACAGGCTGCTTTTGAAATGTTATACTTTATTCGAGTTAAGTAACTAGTAAGAATAGTTAAGTATGGAACTTTCATTTGTTTTCTTTTTTGTTAATTAGTCACATGTGATTTAATTAACCTGCCTTCTCTCCAGAATAGAGACAGTTGTTTATTAAAAATACTTTGTTGCAAATCCAGAATTATAAGTGAAATATTGACCTTTATTTTTTCTCTTTGCTGAAGAAATGCTGGGTAGGCAGTCTGGAAATTTTATTCTGAGGTCTCTATTTCCTTGTAAAATTCATATTTTAACCCCAAGTCAAGGCTGTTGAATGAGTAGAAGAGACTCATTTTTCATTCCTTTGGTAAGAATCAGCTCCTGTTTTCTTGCACATATTTAATACTCATTCATGTGTTCAAAAAACGCTGAGCACCTGCAACGTGGTAGGCACTGTTCTAGGCAATGAGGATACAGCAAGGAAAAAACAGATCTTTTTGTTTAGCTTTCTAGTAGGAGAAGGCAGACAGTAATCAGAATATATATGTAAAAGGTATGTTTAATTTTATTGAGAAAAACGAATCAGGGAAGGGAAGATAGAGAGTCTTGTGAGGTTGGCAGTTTTCAATAAGGTGGTCAGACAAGGTGGTATTTTTGCAAAGACCTAAAAAGTTTGTAAAATTCTTTGCTGTCCTGTGAGGGTTATAAAGTCCTGGGTTATTTTTGAAAGACCTTATAAGTAGAGTGGATAGTTAGAATGTATTTAAGATGAATACAGGACAATCCAGGGATTGGATTAATGCCTGTAATGTTACTTGTCATTTAGTATTATTATTAAGGACTATTGTGTTACAACATTATACAGTTGCTCAAGCAAACAGCGCCTTTGACATTTGGACATGTACACACAAAGTTATATAACTTAACCCTATGTCCTTTCATATTGTGTTAAAAGTTTTTGCTTGTCTTTTTAAGTTCATATACTGTAATCTGAATGTAGAGTAGAATACTCATCAGATCAATCAGTCCATTGCCAAAGACAACTTAAATCTCTTGTATGTACTTTTGAATTGTTTCCAGGCACTGGCTTCTTAAAATATAAACAGAAAGAACTTTGATTTATGAGAAATTCTTTTCCTGGAGAACCTCTGTCCAATGAACAACCAGTTGAAGGAGTTTTCCTAACACTGTGTTAGATCCTCTCAAAAGTGATACCATGGTTTCCTATCCAAGATTAGGATTAGTACAATTGTTACTCATATAATTCTTCAAGGGACAAGCGAAACAAAAAGTCATGTTTTTTTTTTTTGTTAGAAAACAGCTTTATGGTTGGGCACTGTGGCTCACACCTGTAATCCCAGCACTTTGGGAGGCTGAGGCGGGCGGTTCAATTGAGGTCAGGAGTTTGAGACCAGCCTGGCCAACATGGCGAAACCCCATGTCTACTAAAAATACAAAAATTAGCCAGGCGTGGTGGTAGGCGCCTGTAATCCCAGCTACTGAGGAGTCTGAGGCAGGAGAATCACTTGGACCCGAGAGGCAGAGGTTGCAGTGAGCCAAGATTGCATCACTGCACTCCAGCTTGGGCGGCAGAGCAAGACTCCATCTCAAAAAAAAAAAAAGAAAAGAAAAGAAAACAACTTATTTAGGTATATTTTATATATGAAATTCATCCATTCTAAGTGTACAATTCAGTGATTTTTACTAATTTTGCCAAATGTTGCAACCATCATTATAGATAGGTTTTAGGACATTTGAGGACACCACAGTAAGATTCTTTATACCCATTCACAGTTAATCTCATTTCTACCCTCAGTCCCAGGAAATCACTAATCTGTTTTCTGCCTGTATAAATTTGCTTTTTCTAGGCTCTTCTTCATAAACGTGATCGTTCAATATGTCATCTTTTGTGTCGAGCTTCTTTAACAATGCTTTTGAGATTCATGCATGACATAGCATGTGCCATTAATTTGTTCCTTTTTATAGTTGAATAATATTCCATTGTGTGGATATGCCACATTTTGTCTATACAAAACCAGTTGATGGTCATGGTTTCAAGTTTTGGGCTATTATAAATAATGGCACTACGAATATTCACATGTAAGTCTTTGTGTGGACATATGTTTTCATACACCTTGGGTAAATAACTAGAAGTAGAATTGCTGGGTCATATCGTAGTTTTATGTTTTACTTTTTGAGAAACTGCAACACTTTCCCAAAATGGTCACACCATTTTATAACATTCCCATCAAAGATGTATGAAAGTTCCCTTTTCTGAGTATCTTTGCCAACATTTGTTATTGTCTGCCTGATTTATTATAGCCATTCTAGTGGGTGCGAAATAGTATCTCATTGAGGCATTAATTTTGCGTTTCCCTAAGGACTAATGATGTTGAACATTGTCTCACGTAATTACTAGTCATTTATGTATTTTCATTGATGGAATGTCTGTTTATATCTCTTGCTTATTTTCTAATTGGGTTACTTGTCATCTTATAAGTTGAGTTGTGAGGATTCTTTGTAAATTGTGGATACAGATCCTTTAATGGATATATTTTGCAAATATTTTCTTCCAGTCTGTTGTGTCTTTTCATTTTCTTGTGTCTTTTGAAGTATAAAAGTTTTGAATTTTCATGAGGTCCAATTTATTAGTTTTTAAAATTATTTTATGGACTATGCTCTTGATGTCATAGGCAAGAAATCTTTGCCTAGCCCAAGTCTCAAAGATTTTCTTTTATGTTTTCTTGTAAATATTTTATTATTTTAGCCCTGATGTTTAACTATGTGATCTATTTTGAGTTAATTCTTATGTATGGTGTGAGATGAGGTTGTAAGGTTAACTTTTTCCATGTGGATAACCAATTGTCTCAGCAGTTTTTGTTGAATGCAGGTGCATTTTTAATTGTTGTAGATTTTAGACATTGCAAAATGAATTTCTACTAAAAAAGCTAATAGGAGATGATGTAATTTTAAAAGCTTGGCCAGGTGTGGTGGTCCATGCCTGTAATCCTAGCACTTTGGGTGACCAAGGCAGGAGGATCCCTTGAGCCCAGGGGTTCAAGACCAGCCTGGGCAGCATAGGGAGACCCTGTCTTTGATTGATTGATTGATTGATAGAAAGATAGATAGATAGATAGATAGTTAGATAAATGGTTATAAAAACATGGAAATGGAGAAGTAAGGAACATTTTATGTGCTTTCTCTCTTGACTTTTTTCCTTTTTCTTATTTGTTTATTAATTAGTTTTTTTTAGGGACTATGTTGACCAGGCTGTTCTCAAACTTGTGGCCTTAAGCAGTCTATCTGCCTCAGCCTCACAGTGTTGGGATTACAAATGTGTCCCACCATGCCCAACTTTGACTGTTATGCTAATTATAGATTTAGAAATTTTAGGCCAGGCACGGCGGCTCACGCCTGTAATCCCAGCACTTTGGGAGGCCGAGGTAGGTGGATCACTTGAGGTCAGGAGTTTGAGAACAACCTGGCTAACATGGTGAAACCTCATCTCTACTAAAAATACAAAAATTAGCCAGCTGTGATGGTGCGCGCCTGTAATCCCAGCTACTTGGGAAGCTGAGGCAGGAGAATCACTTGGACCCGGGAGGCGGAAGTTGCAGTGGGCCGAGATTGTGCCACTGCACTCCAGCCTGGGTGACAGAGCGAGACTCCGTCTTAAAAAAAAAAAGAAATAAAGAAATTTTAACTTCAGTTGTTGATATATCAATTTATGGACCAAAGTTAGGGACAAAAAGCAAAAATTGAAAATGGAATAGTTTTAACAGCAGTAGTTTTAATTTGTTTTTTAAAAGTATATGGAAATCTTTGTATTTGTTAATAAAGCCTTATTTAAAATGTTTTAAATTTTGTCCTTCATTAGTCTATTGTATTATCAGGTTGCTGAGGGACTGTTTTTGGAAACAGATTATATGGGCTGACAGAGTTTAAAAGTAATGCTTTTTATCTATTTAAAATTTTTCTCTATATTGACTGTTTAGGCTCTCACTCTGGGTAGGGTAAAACTGTTAGAGAGTTCTTGTAATTAGACTTGTTCATTTCTTATCTAACTTCTCTAAAGGTGATAGAAATTCTAGAAGAATGGTCCTGTTGTTTGTGTTATATAAAGACTGATTGAAGAAACAAAATTATAGTGCTAATTATTTATTTAAAAAGAAGCCTGCATTTTCAAGATGAGTAGTAGTATATATGTGGTTTATGATTTAAACAAATTTTTTTCAACATTTTACTCCAGAAATATGTTTACCCATATGTGGTTTATGAAATAAATATTCTTCATTGGAATTGTACACCAAGGGATACTTAGGTTCTTTCTTGTCGGCAAAGTCTCACGAAGAAGTTACCCTTTCCATTTTTCAAATAGTTACATGACTGGCCTACAGACTGCTTTCAATAAATTAAGTAAATATTTTACTAATTCCCCACTTGTTTTTGAGATAACAGGAAGGATAAACCAAAACTTAAACAAACAAACAAAAAGTGTTACCTTATTTTGAAATGTAAATATCAAGTCCTAAATGATAAATCAAATTTCACACAACTGTCCCATCAATTGATGGAGCTAAAAGTTATGTCTGTGGTATTTTGGTCCCTTGCTTGACTTGTGTGCTAGTGTGGAAGCCCTGAACAATTTAACTCCCTGGGCCTTGTTTTCTTCCCCTCCTAAAGGATAACACTGGAGTAGCGAATCTGTGAGGTCCTTTACAATGCTATCATTAAACCGATTTTTAAAAGATTTAACTCCAAAAAAATGGGTATATTTAATTATTCATCCTGGTTAATGAAAATTTGAGTTCCTGAGTCTGAAATGTAGATGTAATGTAGAACAGGGGAAAAGGAAACATATTTTCAATACTTCAGTGATAAAAGGTACAATTTGATTAAGTTGTTACTATATTCTAATCACTGTATGATATATGCACTTGATTTTTTTTTATTCCCAGAGTAATCCTCTAAGTTTGGTATTATCTCCATTTAACAAATGAAGAAATTGAGAATCAGATACTTTAAGTAACTTGTCCAAAGTTCCAGTGCTATTAAGTGGTAGAGCTAGCAATCAAATTCAGGGTTCTCAGACTGCAAAGTCTCTGCTCTATGGACTGTAAAGTCAAAATGCCTAGTATGTTCTGAGTTTCAAACCTACAAGGATATAATTTTCTATGTCTGCTCATATTTATCAGAATTGAGAAAATAAGATTTAAATGTCTTTCAGTCCATATTTAGAGATAAATAACGTTTTTTGAAATGCCATATATAGATGATTAAAATTTATATTTTTACTTTTCCAACATTTACTTGGATGCCTCAATCTTTCATTTCTTATTATAAAATGTGCTGAATTCTACCAGTTTTAACCCATGTTTATTAGAAATACTAGTGATTTCAGTGTGTTTACTGATATGAAAGTAATCTTTTTTTTTTTTTTGAGACTAGTCTGGCTCTGTCGCCCAGGCTGGAGTGCAGTGGTGCTATCTCAGCTCACTGCAAGCTCCGCCTCCTGGGTTCACGCCATTCTCTTGCCTCAGCCTCCCCAGTAGCTGAGACTACAGGCGCCTGCCACCACGCCTGGCTAATTTTTTTTTTTTTTTTTTTTTTGGAGACAGAATCTTGCTCTGTCACCAGTCTGGAGTGCAGTGGCGCGATCTCGGCTCACTACAACCTCTGCCTCCTGGGTTCAAGCGATTCCACTGCCTCGGCCTCCCGACTAGCTGGGACTACAGGCGTGCACCACCACGCCCTGCTAATTTTTTGTATTGTAGTAGAGATGGGGTTTCACCATGTTGGCCAGGATGGTCTCGATCTCCTGACCTCGTAATACGCCCGCCTCAGCTTCCCAAAGTGCTGGGAGTAAAGGCGTGAGCTATTGCGCCCGGCCTCACCCGGCTAATTTTCTGTATTTTTGGTAGAGACAGGGTTTCACCGTGTTAGCCAGGATGGTCTTGCTCTCTTGACCTTGTGATCCACCTGCCTCGGCCTCCCAAAGTGCTGGGATTACAGGCTATAAAGGTAATCTTGACTAGTGATTGCCAGTAACCTTTAGTAACCAGACTAAAGAGAACTTGTACAAATGATTTGATGTTCTAGAAGAAAACATTGGTATAAGAAGGTATTAGCTCTGGAATTAATTCCATTTCTACTACCAGTTGTCTCACCTTTGGGAAAAACCATTAGATGCTGAGCCTTTGTTTCCTCCTTCGTAATATGGCAATGATCATACTTGTCCTGCCTACCTTCTGGAATAGTTATGAAGATCAAATGAGTTGAGGTATATAAAATGGCTTTGGAAAAGATAAAATGCTATACAGATAGATGACACTTGTGGAGATGGTGAGATGCATGGCAATTGTAGGTAAATTCTGCACCCTGTGTTAGAAAGTACTTACTTTCCATTGAAATGCCTTCAGTTCTCACACCAACATTGAGATAGAGCTGTAGTAATCTGCCCCTATTTTGTGGTTGCCTAGGTTGAAGAAAGCTCTTAATGACTACTTTATCTGTGCTTTATGATACTTATTAATGTTTATATTAAAAACAATATCCTGTATGACTAAGTCATGTAATTTGCTTTTTCCCAAATATGGAAGATGAATGAAACAAGAATGAAATGGAAGTAATAGTTAAATAAAAGTGAATGTACACACATTCACAGTAAATTGATTTTACTTTTGAAATTATGCAAATTCTAAACAAGTGTTAAATATTGGTTCCAAATAATGAAATTATGTTTCTTCTCAAATACTAGATTAGTGATTGAATTAAAATCAGTTGAATTATTCTCACAATTAGGTAAATACGTGCTATTTAGGTTTCTCTTGCTGATATATATAGATATATATAATATATATATAATTTATATGATTTTTGAATTGTGTCCTTAATATCTGAATGGATTTTGTTCATTTGGTGTAGCCAGTTGATTGACTTTCAAAGGGTATTTTAAATAGGAAACAATGTTATAAATGGTAGCTATTTTCATAGTATGTCCACAAAGGCAGCCTGATGTAGTATAAATACTCTCTGTAGTATGTTGAACTTAGAAGACCTGGTGTGGAACCTTTGTTTTGTCATAAACCAGCTATGTGGTCAAACTCAATCTGTAAAAATGGGAATAATACCATATGTTCTCTTCTAGTGTTGTGAGAAGTACATGAGAAAATGTACATAGATGAAAAAGCACTCAGAAGTACTTATGTACTTTTGTGTATGTAGACACCATTATGTACTTAAACCCACAATTAGCTGAACTATGAGAATAATCTGTGATCTGGTTCTGAGACCAGAAATTTATTGATGAGAGAGAGGGAAGAATTCACTACCTCCTGTCTTGTTTTACTCTGGTCTTATTTCTGCAAATGAATGTGTTCAGAAACCTGTAATTCTCTAGAAGCTGCTCACTTTTCACCATCTTCTGTGCATCACTTGGAAGGCACAAACACATTATATATATTTTGTATACATACATATATATGTATGTATGTATTCCAGATCCCATGGTATCCATCATAGAAACTCTTGGAGGAAAGAGGCATAAGCTGGGAAGGGGGAAAGTGTGGGCAGCAGATGGCATTTAGTATGAATGGGTCATTTTAAAGTCCTGGTCCACTTGTAGTAGAACCAAAATGAGGCTATACATATATTTTCAGTTCAGATAATACACTCTGAGCTAAAAATGCTTTTCTACCAAACTTTATCTTAACATATCCATATAAATTAGAAAGGATTTTGTAGTTTGGTCATATATTGAGGTAATTACCTCAGTTCCATGAGCTTTCTCCCTTTTTCATGCTGACACAACCATGCTTTATCTTGCTTCTTTTTGTAAAAACATCCCAAAATGTCCACTTACCTTGTGGTCCATGTTAGCTTTCTTGAAAGCATTTGGTACTGCTTTGTAATAATAATACCACCCCATTTATTCTTCTGAGATTCCTGTGGTTTCCTAAATGATAGAGAAAATATTTTGTAGAGGAAGTATTAATAATTTTTGAAGCCAAGCAGATAATTTAATTTGACCTAGCAGGAAGATCTAATCTCAAATCCTTTAAGAAATAATGAGTAAGTGGCTGGCACAAGACCCTTAAAGCATTAAATATGTTATAAAAATGAGAGCAAATCTACCTAGTGTATTTATCAACTACAAATATAAGAGAAATGTAAACCTTAAATCAGGCTTTTATTTTTATCTGTTATTGAAGTGATTGAAATGCGTATGAAAAGCAATGTGTTTATTTTGAAATATGATGAACCTTTTTATTTTTAGTATGGTGTTATTAAGGAAAGAATTTCAGGCAGTTATCTCTGCTAATAATAGAAGCCTTCTTCACCCCTTCAAGGGAACAGTATTCTTGCTTAAGTGGTGTCTTATGTTTGGCAGTGTTTGCCTCTGATAAATTTTATGTATTTCTTTGGGTGGTACCTTTGTTTTTAAAATATTCATAATTCTCTTTTTAATCTGCCATTAGATCTTTTTAAACAGCCTTTTATATGATTAAAGATAATTTATAAAATCTTGCTATATGTCTCTTACTCTGAATGTTAGTATGTTATTAATATACTTTGTTTTTTCAGAATCATTTTTCTTCAGATTATATATACTATTAAAACAAGAACAGTGTGTTCTTATTCAACATCTCAGTTTCTAAATTATAAATGAATTATAAGGTAAGTTAAACTGACTGTCATAAAACAATAGATCTAACATTTTTAAATATACCATACTTTTTTTTTTCTAAATGCTTGTTTTACTTGGGCAATATGATAAGTATAAGTTATTTTCATTTTCTTTTTAAAAAAATCATTTTACTGTTTCTCACAATGTATGTATTTATATATCTATATATATATATTTTTTTTTTTTTTTTGTAGAGACAGGGTCTCACTGTATTGTTCAGGTAGTCTCAAACTCCTGGGCTCAAGTGATCCACCTATATTGGCCTCCCAGAATGCTGAGATTATAGACATGAGCCACCATGCCCAGCTTTTTTTTTTTTTTAATGTGTTTGAGTATAAGTTGGAACTATATGGTGTTCCATAATTGATTCCAGTTTTTCCAGTCTTAATTAATGGAATAATACAATCAATATAAAGTATTTGCTGTGTTTAGTCATACGGGATTTTAAGCAAAATGTTTTTTACCAGTGTTCATCTGCTCATGAGGGATCTTCTCCTATGACCCAAACACCTCCCATTAGGCCCCATCTCCAACATTGGAGATTAAATTTCAGTGTGAGATTTGGATAGGACAAATATCCAGACTATGTGAAGTGGCTAAAAGGCAGAAGAACTAGGAAGAGTTTGAGTCTTGTGAGGCAACAGTTGGAGTTCGCAGTTTATCAAGGAGAGTCTGATAAACAGTTGGGTTTTTGGCTGCAACCCTCTGAAGACGGATATCCTGCTTAGAATAAGCTTAATCTCAGATTGATCTGCCTCTTACCTTTCTTCTCTGGGGGAAGATAAAACTGTCAGAGCCTCTACAGATTTTCATACACAATGTTCAGCATTCTAAGAGACAGGGTGAAGATAATAGAAACAGGTTTGTAGGGGATGCAGATAGTAAAGATATCAAACACAGAATTTTAAATAACTGATACTTTTGTTTAAAGTGGAGAATATTAGCAGAGGACTGGAATCTATAAAAATAAAGGAAATTCTAGGACTGAAAAAATACAATAATTGAATTATCTTTTAGATGATTAATAGCAGATTAGATTCCATTGAAGAGAGGATTAGTGAATTAGATGATGGGTCAGAAGAAAATACCCAGACTGAAAGATAGACAAAAGGATGAAAAGAAAGTATAAGACACATATGAGAACACAGTGAAAAGTCTAATACATGTATTATTGGAAGCTATATAGAAAAAGTTAATTGCAAACCTCCATTTTTCTTTTCTGTAAAATGGTAACCCCAGGTTTACCTTCTTTTAATAGAGTTTCTCTGGACATAGACTAAGATAAATGTGATTTATCAGTTCTATTGCCAACAACAGTATTTATTGTAAAAATGACCTGTGATTGGTTAACTGCATTTGGACTGGGAGGACTACAAATGGACATGTTATACTCCCAAGAGACTACATTATTCACCATTTCTACCAGCATAAAACTTATAGGGAAACAGACGTCCAGTTTCCCTTTAAGGTGTCTCTTCAAACTCAAGCACTTCCTGATGGGAGGCTTAGAAGTTGCAAGAATGGGCTTATTTTATGAAGTATTTCTTGTTTGAGGCTTGTATATGCTGGAGTGTACTGTATCCACTGATACGGGCTTCCCAACTTCATGTACCCCTGTGTGATGAGGAGGCATGGAAGTAGCAGCTGAATATTTTAAGGACTTCTGATGAAGATGTTTTTGGTTATGCCATCCTGACGTTCTGTGTTTCTGTCCTAAGTTCTCATAAAAAGCTAAGTAAAACTGATGTAACATTACCACCTTTTGTATCCTGAGGTATGAATGTCATCTTGAATCCAAGACCACTGATGGTCATACACAGCAGGTAATACATAATTCCAGAAGAAGAGGACAAAGGGAATGGGGCAGAGGCAGCATTTGAAGAGATAATGGCAGAAAGTATTCTAAAACTGATTAAATGCCTCAAGCCACAGATTCAGAAGCCCCCAGCAGAATAAATGTAAGAAAACCATTCCTAGAGATATCATTGTGCAACTGGTCTAAACCAATTCCCTTTTCTTGAGCCTCCCTTATGCTGGTGTAGACTGTATTTATCCTTGCAGAAATGGGAAAAAAATGTTGAGAATATCTTAAAAGCAGCCAGGGGGTGGGGTAAAAAAAAGAAGTGTATTATCTTCAAAGGGACAGTAATAAGTTGACTCCCCAACTAAAACAGTGAAAACAAGGAAAAAATGGAATGGAATTTTTTTTTACCTTCGAAGAGGTAAAAGAAACAAACTGCCAGCTTATAATTTTATGCCCAGCAAAAATGTTCTTCAAAAATAAAGGTAAGCTGGGCGTGGTGGCTCATGCCTGTAATCCCAGCACTTTGGGAGGCCAAGGCGGGGATCACCTGAGGTCAGGAGTTTGAGACCAGCCTGGCCAACATGGTGAAACCCCATCTTTACTGAAAATACAAAAATTGGCCAGATGTGGTAGCACACATCTGTAATCCCAGCTACTCGGGAGGCTGAGGCAGGAGAATTGCTTGAACCGGGGAGGCAGAGGTTGCAGTGAGCCGAGATCGTGCCACTGCACTCCAGCCTGGGTGACAGAGCAAGACTCCATCTCAAAATAAATAAATAAATAAATAAAACTCCAGCCTGGGTGACAGAGCAAGACTCCGTCTCAAAATAAATAAATGAATGAAAGAAGGAAGGAAGGCAAAATGCATTTTTATGCAAACACAAATTGAGACAATTTGTCAACAGAAGACATATAACAAAGGGAACACCAAAGGCAATTTTTCAGGAGGAAAGAAAGTGACCCCAGGTGGAAGGAAGAAATGCAAAAAGAAATGAAGAGCGTTGGGAAGTCTAAGTATGTGGGTAACTAAATAGATACTGACTATACAAAATAATATCTTGCGAGACTGAGAATATATGTAGGAATGAAATGCAAGAACAGAAAAGATATGAGAAAAAGTAGAGTTATAGTGTTCTAAAGTCCTTGCTTTGTTTGGGAAATGTAAAAACACAAATTTTTATTAGACTGAAGTTAAGGATGCATGTTGTAATATCTGGGGTAGCCATTAAAATGAAACCTGAGGACTCTAGAGAAAAAAACACAGATCATGTTTCTTATTTTGTTTTGGAGAGAATTCTAGATCATTCCACAACTCTACTTTAAAAAGAAATTTTATGGAATGTAAAATTATGTAGTCAACAAGAAAACATTCAGAGGTGGTTAATGAGAATGGAAGGGGAGTTGTTTGAAGACAGGAAAATAAAGGAGGACGAGTAAGAAGGAGATGAAGCATGTGGAATAAGAGAGACAAAAAGAAAATAGACACATAAGGACCAGAGTTGGAAAGACATTAAGAGAGGGCATGGTTTATGACGCTTTGGGATAAGTGTTGCTGGCAGAGTCTACTGAATGCTAATACATTCTCCAACGGTGTTAAAGAGTCTACTGAATGCTAATACATTCTCCAACAGTGTTGAAGAATTTATAATGGTAAATGTTGTTGTTTTTTTTTTTCTTCCCCCCCCCCGCCATTTTTTGTTTGTTTGTTTGTTTTGTTTTGAGTCTGGGTCTCACTCTGTTGCCCAGGCTGGAGTATAGTGGCACAATCATAGCTCACTGTAATCTCGAACTCCTGGGCTCAAGTGATCCTCCGTGATCCTCCTGCCTTCTTTTTTTTTTCTTTTTTGGAGGCAGAGTGTTCCTCTGTCCCCCAGGCTGGAGTGCAATGGCATGATCTTGGCTCACTGCAACCTCTGTCTCCCGGGCTCAAGCAATTCTTGTACCTCAGCCTCTGCAGTAGCTGGGACTCCAGGTATGCTCCATCACACCAACTCCTGCCTTCTCTTCCTGAGTGGCTGGGACTACAGGCGAGTGCCACCATGCCCGGCTAATTTTTAATTTTTTTTTTTTTTTGTAGAGATGGGGTCTTCCTATGTTGCCAGGGCTGGTCTGAAACTCCTGGCTTCAAGCGATCCTCTCGCCTGGGCCTCCCAAAGTGCTTGGATTACAGGCATGAACCACCATGCTTGGCTGTAAACTGTATTCCTGACTCTATTTTTTAATCTTAAATGATGATGTAAAAATAAAGTTGATTTTCCTGCGGAATCCTAGATTAACTTAAATTTTAAAGAAGTATTTTATTGGCTGGGCACGGTGGCTCATGCCTGTAATCCTAGCACTTAGGGAGGCCGAGGCAGGTGAATCACATGAGAGGCCAGGCATTCAAAACCAGCCGGCCAAGATGGCAAAACCCTGTCTCTACTAAAAATACAAAAAATGAGCTGGGCATGGTGGTGCATGTCTGTAATCCCAGCTACTTCAGAGGCTGAGGCAGGAGAATCGCTTGAATCTGGGAAGCAGAGGTTTCAGTGAGCTGAGATCATGCCACCGCACTCTAGCCTGGGTGACAGAACAAGACTCTGTCTCAAAAAAAAAAAAAGGAAAAAAAAAGGTATTAAATATTTTATTTATTTATTTTTCTTTTTATTGCTGCTGCACAAATTAACGTTTTAAAGAAATATTTTAAAGTTACAATCTAAAGCCAGTATAAACACTTATTTTAAAAATAAAGCAGAGGTGTCATATCTCACTCCTGTAATCCCAGCACTTTGGGAGGCTGAGGCGGGTGGATTCCTTGAACCAGCCTGGACAAAATGGCGAAACCCCATCTCAACAAGAAACATAAAAATTAGCCAGCCATGGTGGCACGTGCCTATAGTCCCAGCGACTTGGGGAACTGAGGCGGGAGGATCGCTTAGGCCTGGGAGGTTGAGGCTGCAGTGAGCTGTGAGCGTCCTACTGCACTCCAGCTTGTGTGACAAAGAGAGACCCTGTCTCTAAATAAATAAATAAAGCAGAATACAGCATATCACATAATTAAAGAAGTTAGGTGTAGAGCAAGTCTTTACTAAAATAAATTATTTTCATAAGTCTTTACTGATCTATGTAAAATAGCCCATTTTCCTGTCACCTTGTCACTCTGCTTTCTTCATGTATCATCATTACATCACTGTTTCTTCTATTAGAAAATTTCCTTATTTTTTGTCTTCTAACACACCAAGCACAACTATAATGTTATATATTTGTTTATTATTTATGTTCTCCACCAGAAGGCAAGTTCCATTTATTTTCACAATTCAAGGCAATGCCTAGTACACATCAGACACTCAGAACATATTTGTTAAATGAATGAATGAGCAAATGAATGAAAGACTTCAAGGATGTACAAGTTCATTCTCTTAATAACATTTAAGTTCATTTTACATATTTTATTAGGGGATTTAGAGACTCTTAAGACTTTCAGTTCATGTGTTATTTTCTTGATTTTTCAGCACTTCTTGATGACTAACCTTAGTATATCTGATCCATACAAAGGCCACAGCCCTACCCCAGCCTTACTCTCTAACTGAACACAGCAATTCTCCATACTTGATTATTTTCATGCATTGTCCCTCCCTCCTTAGCCTATCACTACTAGACTCTATCCCTTCACTGTGACCTCATTTCTCAAATCTAATGCTAGAGATAATGCTTATCCTCTTAAGCATGCAAGTGAGCACCCTTGATACGTTGTAATCAAGGAAACCTGATTATTGAAGGGTAAAATTATGTGAATTTTGAGCTTGGGCGTTAGAGGCAGATACACCATCCTGTCACTCACCAATTTCTAATTTCCAGTTTGCTCACTTGTAAATAGGGCATAATAATATTTACCTTGTGGGAGTTTTGGGAATTAAATATGTACATAAAGTACTATTTAATAAATATGGTACTTATTTAATAAGTTGTAGATAAAAAGGAAAGGAAGTCTCTTGCTTCCTTGTGAGAACCATCCTTTAGAGAACTTTAAAGGATTTTCAGGGAAAGGAAATTTGGAGAAGAGCAATGAGATTGTTTTGTTTCACCACGGGCAGAGGTGAAAGGAGCGTTGTGTTGTTTTGGCAGGAGTCTGGGGATGGTAGGGGTCGGAACATATGTGCATTACATAACGCTGCTGATCACCAGAGTTACGGCTTTTGACATGAATGAGTTAAGGTTGCTGACCACCCCATGAGGCCCAACTGGCTGATACATGTGTGATCTCTTGGCTCGTCACAGCTTAGGTATATAGTGTCCTCCAAATGTTCTTAACGTTTTTATTGTACTCCATATACAAGAGTATACTGGCATCTTTTACGTAAATTCTCAATAAATTTTCACAAACTGAACACATCCACGTAACCACCACTTTGATAAAGACATGGAAAATGACCAGTATCCCAGAAGTCCCCTTGTGTCCCATATCCCCTTGTTTCCAACCTCCACCCCACCAATGGGAACCACTATCCATGGATAGTTTCACCTGTTTTTGAACTTTATAGAGACAGAATTCTACTGTATCTGGCTTCTTTACATGGGATTATGTTTATGAGATCTATCCATGTCATTGCATGTAGTTGTAATTCATTCTCATTGCTATATAGTATTGCATTAAGACTATACTATTATTTGTCCATTCTATTACTGATGGAAATTTGGTAGTTTTTACATCTTGGTTGTTATGATTAATGCTATTTTACACATTCCTGTACTTGTCTTTTTTCTATTTTTATTATTTTAGAAAAACGTGAATTTAAAACCATATATATAAATATTATTTTAGAAATATATTTTTTTCTACTGTCACATTTCAGATTCTTGTCATTACTGGGAGTATTTTTTCAGGTATCTACCATGGCTTTCTAGAATACCATATTTATTGTTATTTAAGTTGTTTGAGATGCAATACTTTTGAATCCATACACAATACTGTAACAGGTACCTGCTAATACAATGTTACAACCACAGGTGTTTTTTTTTCACTTGTCTTTTTGAGTTATAATCTTCACTATGTTGTAACTATTTAGTATACTAATTTTTAAAGTAATCTTTAAAAGACTTTAAAATGATATTCTACATTTGTATGTGTGAAATCATTCTTCAGGGATAATTATCATATTACTATATCCTTGATAAGTATCTTTTTTGTTGTTACTGATTCCATCAGAAGTTTTCTCCCATGTAGTAAAGATTGATACATTTGTTAGGCAAGTGTGTCTTACATATAGTCATTTGTCGTTCAAAATAATTTAGAAAGTGCCTTCTTAAGATGAAAGTGTCTTCTTAAGATGAAAGATTTATAAGAACTTGAATTTAGGAAGAATCTCTTTTTTTCTGCAGTTTAACTTTTGATTAAAAAGGAAACATCAGATTATATTTGGGACTATATATCTTTGAGAAAAACATATGACAGCACTTCAAAAATTCATGGAAAAATGGAATTAAAAGATAAAAATAAAAAATATAAACATTTTTAATTTTTAATTTTAATTTCAATTTTTTAATTAAATAGAGATGATTTAAAAAAAAAATTAAATACAGACGAGGTCTCACTATGTTGCCTAGGCTCGTCTCAAACTCCTGAGCTCATGTGATCCTCCTGCCTTGGCCTCCCAAAGTGCTAGGATTGATTGCAGGCATGAGCCACCATGCCCGGCCAACTTTATTTTTTAGCATAAATGCCATCAAGGTCAAGATACTTTTGTAAGCAATGATAGCAGCCATTTAGTCCATTCCTAAAGAATTTACAGTCCTCAGAGTTTAACCATGTCAGTGCAGTCTTTTTTACATGAGTAACTAAAAGAAAATAGGTTTGTTTTAAAGGTGTGTGTGTGTTTTTTTTTAATATTAGGAAACAAAGTCAGAAGGAGCCACATCAGAACTGTAAGTTGGATGCCTAATGATTTTCCTTGAAAATTCATGCAAATTGCCCTTGTTTGATGAGAGGAATGAGCAGGAGCATTGTCATGGTGGAGAAGGACTCTTTGGTGAAGCTTTCCATGGGAGTTTTTCTGCTAAGGTTTTGGCTAACTTTCCCAAAACACTCTAATAATCAGATGTTGTTGTTCCTTGGCCCTCCAGAGAGTCAATAAACAAAATGCCTGAAGATCCCAAAAAACTGTTGCCATGAACTCTGCTCTGTTTTTTGTTTGTTTGTTGTTTTTTGTTTGTTTGTTGTTTTTTAAGAGACAAGGTCTTTGTGTCACTGAGGCTGGAGGGCAGTGGCGCAATCATAGCTCACTGCAGCCTGGAACTCAAGTGATCCTCTTGTTTCAGCCCCCTGAGTAGCTGAGACTGTAGGCCTGTGCCACCACACTTGGGTCATTTTAAACAATATTTTTGAAGAGACGGGGTCTTGCTATGTTGCCAGGCTGGTCTCGTCCTCCTGGGCTCAAGCGATCCTCTCGCCCCTGTTTCCCAAAGTGTTGGGATTCACAGGTGTGAGCCACTGCGCCTAGCCCACCTTTGCTCTTCACCAGTCCACTGTACTTTAACTGGACCACTTCCACCTCTTGGTAGCCATTGTCAGGACTGTGCTTTGTCTTCAGGATCATATTGGAAAAGCCATGTTTCATTTCCTATTACAACTCTTCGAAGAAATGCTTCAGGATATTGAAGCTACCTATTTAAAATTTCCATTGAGAGCTCTGCTCTTGTCTGCAGCTGATCTGAGTGCAACAGTTTTGACACCCATTGAGTGGAATGTTTGCTCAACTTTAACTTTTTAGGCAGAGTTGTGTCAAACTAAATCGATTGACATGCCTATGATGTCGGCTGTCATTTCTGCCTGTCCTTTTCAATTAAGGCATGAACAATATTTAATTTTTTTTCTTACAAATCTGTGAGGGTGGTCTGCTGCTATGGGCTTCATCTTCAAAATCATCTTGTCAGCCAAGCATGGTGGCTAACCCCTATAATCCCAGCACTTTAAGAGGCAGAGGTAGGAAGATCGCTTGAGCCCAGGAGTTTGAGACCAGCTTTGGCAACATAGCAAGACCCTGTCTCTACAAAAAATAAAAAATTAGCTGAGCATAGTGGTGCACGCCTATGGTTACAGTTTCTCTGGAGGCTGAGGTGGGAGAATCACTTGACACAGAAGGTCAGGGTTGCAGGGAGCAGTGATTGCATCACTGCCTTCCAGCCTGGGCAACAGAGTGAGACCCTGCCTCAACACAAAACAAAAAACTCTTCTTGTCCCTTCTTAAAACAAATTACCTATTTGTAAACTGCTGATTTCTTTGAGTCATTGTTCCCATAAACTTTTCATAAGGCCTCAATGATTTCACCATACTTCCATTAATGCTTCGATATAAATTTGATGTTTGTTTTTGCTTTAACATTAGCAGAATTCATGTTGCTTTAATAGGGACTCTTTTTAAACTGTTGCTTATCCTTCTTAGTGCCTCAAACTAGATCCTGTTCAGACATGTAATAGTTTATTTTGGTACAAAAGTTTTTTGATATCCATGCATAGTTTTTTCATAATATGCATTTCCATGAATTTTTTGAATTTTTTAAATATTTTTCTTTTTAGTTCAGATGTTGTTTCTGGTCTAATATTTACTTGTTTATATTTAATAAGTTATTTTTACTTTAAAAATATTTTGATCTTTTTTTACATGCATGTTTGTGTGTGCAGTTTCTGGTGTATTTTTAACAGTAGCAATAGGACTGTTCAGGACTCTTAGGAAATGCAAAGAGAGCAAATTTTTTTCCCCTTGAGACTTGCTTTGGAGATAGCAAGGTATAGCTTTGAATCACAGCTCCAAAATTGATTGCTTATATGCAATTTGGTTAAGTGTCTTAAACTCTGCGAGCCTGGGTTTTCTCTTCTACAGGAACTCTTGTAGAATTTAAATTAAAAAATATATAAAGTGCTTAATGCATTTATATACATAGAAACACATGTATGCATAAGTATATGTGTACACACACACACACACACACACACACACACACACACATATATACATACATACAAACAGCTTGCTAAGTATGAGGCACGCATTACCATTACTATTAGCTGCCTTTCAGAATTACCTGTTTTCTATTGATATCATAACTACCTTTCCTCAATTGCTTTATCTTTTAGGCCCCAGAATTGTCTGGTCTTTCCTGCCTTGGATATCCGCTCTAGCTAGTTCCTATCTTTTTTTTTTTTTTTTGAGACAGCGTCCAAAAAAAATCCAGGCCAGAGTACAGTGGCACTGTCTTGGCTCACTGCAACCTCCGCCTCCCCGGTTCAAACGATTCTCCTGCCTCAGCCTTGTGAGTAGCTGGGATTACAGGTGCCCACCGCCACACCCAGCTAGTTTTTGTATTTTTAGTAGAGACAGGGTTTCACCATGTTTGCCATGCTGGTCTCAAACTCCTGACCTCAAGTGATCTGCCCACCTTGGCCTCCCAAAGTACTGGGATTACAGGCTTGAGCCACCACACCCAGCCTAGCTAGTACCTTTCTAAAGTACAATGTACGAGTACTTTTCTTTCCATTTCTTAGATCTTTGCTACCTAAAGTTTAAGTACATAGATTAGCAGCATTGAAAGCTTCTTATAAATACTTCAAAGCACTTGAGCACTTTTAATTTATGCATTTCTGTTGGTTATAATACTTGGGAGTGAAATCACTGAGTCATAGAGTATATACATGTTCAGTTTTAGTAGTTACCCATTTTGCATCAATTTATTGTTTTCCCAAGTGTTTGCACTAATTTACATTCCCTCCAGCAACCTATAAAAGTTCCAGTTGCTGTATTTCTTGACTAATACATGGCATTGTCTGTCTTTTTTATTGTGCTATTCTGGTGGGTGTATTATGGTATTGTATTGCATTGTGGTCTTAATTTACTTTTCTCTGATGACCCATGATATTGAGCACCTTTTCATGTTTATTGACTATCTAGATCTCCTCTTTTCTAAATCTGTTTTCCTGTGAGACATATACCTTCTTTTGTAATGCCCGGACCTTGACTAAATTGTAGTTCTGGTGCTGATGGTTATTATTTTTTCTTCTGATTCTTTTCCATATTTAGAAGCTTCTGGAATGCAGTACTACATAGGATTCTTTAGGACTTGGAATATATAGATAATAACTCTCTTTTGATAGGTGTTTGTTGGTTTGCTCAGATATGAGAGTGATTAGCACACCAAACTTACATACACCTCATATTCTAAAGCAGCAATACTAGTAGATTGTGAAGCCTGTATCATATATTCACGCACCCCAAGTATTAGAGTTAGTCATGCATTTTTTTTCCATACAGTAAATAAATAGTTACTGAGTGTTAGTTATGTGTTAGGTACTGTGCCAGATGCCAAGGATCAATGATAAATGAGACACAGACCCTGTTCTGAAGGAGCTAGCCACCGTAAAGGAGATCAGTAACAACAACAGCAAAGTAGGTAATTACAGCACTTGATGTTAAGAGCCACCAGGAAGAGGAGCTGTGGGATTACATTAGAACATCACTTAATCAGACTGTTGAGTTGGTGGAATGAGTTGGGGAATGGGGTGCTAGTTAGGGAATGCTTACTGAAAGACGGTACTTCATTTGAAAGACAAATGAGACATAGACATGTGATGCATTGGAGATTTGGTGAATGGGAATTTAAATAGTTCACATATTTAATGGCATTTATGTATTCCATTGAATACAGTTCAACTGAAATTTGCTGAATGCTTATCATAAACTGGGCATGTGTTGGCTCTGAAAATGAGAGAAAGCACAGTCCTTATGGGAAGTTCCAAATAGTTCTAAATGACTGAAGTATAACATTTGAGGTGAGGGAATAGTGAATGATGTTACAGGAAAGACAGGCAGAGACATATATATGTATTATATAAATACTTTATGTATACCTATAGCACTATATGAAGTCCTTTAATATTCAACCATTCTGATTACCTTCTTACTCCAATTTTCCAATTAGGTGCATAACATGCTGTGAGTGTAGAATGGGTTTCAGCTTCCCAATATCAGTGGAGCCTCCATTCTATATGGTACCATAATTTGTCCTGACTACCAGAGCTTCTGTCCAACACCATCGTACAAAATTCTTGAATCTTCCCCTTGGTTTTCATTTCAGTCAGCTTGCCTTACCTGTAATTACAGGGTATACAGAAGACTAATCTTTCTTACTACTAAAGTATTTCATAACATATGGACACTTTGGTCAAAAGCAATTAGTGGAAAGAGAAGTGTTTCTGATTCAGGGTCTACAGAAAATAAGATAGTGGAGCTGGCTGAGGACTGATACACATGCCTTCCATCAGAGCCAAAACTTATCTATGCTCGTTCCTCATTTCATTCATTCTTGCCCCCAGTGTTTTTTTCCCCCACCTCTTAAACTTAGGGCCAATTTAAAGGTCTGGCCTTCAGACTGTTTAGGGTCGTGAGGGGAACATTGTAACTGGTAGCCAAAAATGCCATTCCAACTGGAAGGCTATATCTCTAGCATCTAAACTTGGAATTCTAAGTGTCACTTCTCCCAAACCCAAATTATTATTACATATGGTGTGTATTAATAAATTCTATAATACCTTTAATATGATAGCATTATTTCATATATTATGAGTTAAATCTTTCGTTGGGTAACCACAGATTGCATTATAGTATAATCATTAGGAACATAGGCTTTAGAAAAGGATAGATCTGGATTTAAATACTGATTTTGTCCATTACTAGTCAGTTTGAATTTCTCTAAGTCTTAGTTTCCACATCTATAAAATTTCCTCATACAGTCATTAAAAGCTTAAATGAAACAATGTATATAAAATGTTAAACATGTATATATACATATAGATACACACCTGCTAAGGTATCCCTCACAGATTTGTGAGAAAGAATAATTAACTGTCATTAAATAACCCCTGCTACAAATCTGGATTATAAATTGACTTCTGTAGACACCCTGAAGGATGATGTCCATTTCTTGGTAGTCTCTCTTGTGCCTTCACTTGGAGACCCTCCTGAAGGACTTAGTGCACATTTTCTTTTTAGTCTAAATTTTAAGTCAGACCACCCCAAATATGTCCCAAAAGTTCTAAGAAACTTTTTAAGCTATGGTAATACAATGGTAGGCTTGATTTTATTTATTTAGATAAAATACGATGATAGACTTGATTTTACTTATTATATAGACTAATAACTTCCTGGGAGCACTGTGATTGCCACACTTCCAAAGAGAAGAAAAACTTTTCAAGCACCAAAAAAGTAGCTTAAAAACAAATTTTGTACACCAGTCAGGGACTCTTTAGAGTACACTCATAGGTGGGAATTGAACAATGAGATCACATGGACACAGGAAGGGGAACATCACACTCTGGGGACTGTTGTGGGGTGGGGGGAGGGGGGAGGGATAGCATTGGGAGATATACCTAATGTTAGATGACGAGTTAGTGGGTGCAGCACACCAGCATGGCACATGTATACATATGTAACAAACCTGCACATTGTGCACATGTACCCCAAAACTTAAAGTATAAAAAAAAAAAAAAAGAAATACCACCTTCAGCACCTTGTCCAGTGGAGCATGTGAAATTAAGTACTTAGATTCTTTTTGTGGACTGAAGCTTCATTTTCTTTGGGCTAGTTCAAATTATTATGCAGTATTTCCATAGCCTTTACATTTTGGCAACTCTTTTCTTTGATCCTAGCAGAAAAATAGGTTATAATTTTGGCCCCAAATAATTATTTTTTAATTGTTCCTTTTGTTTTATTAGATATGATAATATCCTAAACTATATAATATATTAAAATAGAATGAGGATGTATCTGATATGAATTACTATGGGATGATGTACAGATACAGAAGTGTTCCAAACTATGCCTTATGAAACTGTAGTGTCTTGCCTGTGGTAAAAAATGCTGGACTTCATATGGGAATGATATTGGAAATTTGAAAACTTTTAATCTTTGTGTAAAACGATTGTGTATTTATACCTGTATAACACAGCTATGTGAAGTTCTGTGTCTTGTATATAAAGACAAATGTGTCAAAACTGAAAAGCATCCAGAAAGTGGCAACCGAAATCGTCAAGAGGCAGGAGTGGCTTAAAAGCTTTATACCCTTCAATGTGGAATGATCCTCAGGGATATCATTAGGAAAGTCTTAGAGTTGGAAGGGGAATTAGCTTTGATCTACTCCAACCTGTTATTTAATGCAGGAATTTATCTTATGATAATCCTGATAAATGGCTGAGCTTCCTCTGTTTGAATACTGGATGATGCATTAAGAGTGCTGATTTTGGCTGGGCACGGTGGCTCACACCTGTAATGCCAGCACTTTGGGAGGCTAAGGCAGGCAGATCACCTGAGGTCAGGAGTTCCAGACCAGCCTGGCCAACATGGTGAAATCCTGTCTCTATTAAAAATACAGAAATTAGCCAAGTGTGGTGGTGCGTGCCTGTAATTCCAGCTACTTGGGAGGCTGAGGCAGGAGAATCACTTGAACCCGGGAGGCAGAGGTTGCAGTGAACTGAGATCGTACCACTGCACTCCAGCCTGGGTGACAGACTGTCTCAGAAAAAAAAAAAAGTGCTGATTTTGGGGACATGCTGCTTGGGTTTAAACCCAGCCCTGCCTACTGGGATCTACCATGGTCACTCACCTACTAGTTGAGTGACCACAGGCAAATTCTTAACCTCTCTGCAAATTTTTACCCAGCCCCATTTCCTGGCTTATTATTGCCAGCATCTGTGTTCCTGACAATAGGCGAAGACACAAGGGATCTAGCCTCTGACCCCATCCCATCTAGCATTGAGAGATGAACTGAGAATCAAGTAAATGTTTGCATTATACATCTGGTGGAAAAAAAGTATATTCAGCATATAGTAGTTACCTTAAAAAATGAAATTTTCAGCATAGACCAGAGTGGTGAAAAGCAAGTTTAGGGGAGGCTTCATGGATCAGACAAGTCTGTTAGTTGAAGGAGAGTCTATTGACAGTTCCCAGTTCTGCCTTCTGGAACAACATAAATCAGTTTAATTCCTTCTGTGTGACAATTCTTCACCTTATCAAACGTAAAATATAAAAGGCATAGTTCGGGTGAGTGTGGATTTTTCCCCTCTTAAAATTCCATAGCTTTAGAGAGTGTTTTGTGTATTTTGGCTAAAATTTAGGAAAAACAAAATGAACCACTAATGGGTGATAATTTTGTAGAGCTCTTTAACTTTTTAATCCAAAAAATTGTGTGGACTATAAATTAAAATTTGTTTCCATCAACTCATATATGGTTACTCAGCAAAATTGGAAATTTGAACTAGATTCCAAACCTTTTGAGTTTTAAAATATTCTAAATAGTGTATTATTTAGATTCAGCTTTGAGTGACAGAAATATCCAAAATAAGAATGGCTTAAACAAATAGCAGTATTTTGCTGTCTTGTAAAAGTCTGAGCAGGTGATGTAGACTGTTGTTATGTCTGATGGTGTCAAAAATATGGTTTTCTCTTTCCTGTTGCTCTCCCCTTCTTAAGTCTGGTCTTGAGGTGCAAAATGGTGGCTTTGATAATTCTAGGCTTCAGGATGAAGGAAGGGATGAGGAATAAGTTGCCAGGGACATTTCTGCTTTATATCTCATTGGCTGGAACATACTCAGGTGGCCACATCTATTAATAGTTACAAGAGAGGCTAAGATGCAGGCTGTACGCTGGGTAGCCATGTACTCAGTTGTAATTTGGGAGTTTGATGTATGGGAGAAAGAAAGATGCAGAAGATATTGGGGGACAACCAGCAGTGTAATGTAATTAGTATAGCTACTTACTTGAGTAGGCCTTCATTAAATCGTTGTTCAACAGATGAATGTTTCTAATTGCTCCTGTCAAAGTAGGTATTGATCTGGATATTTACGTGTATACATGATAAATTATGGCAAGATTATTTATTATTGGTGTTTTTATAATTTTATTTCTCATCTACTCTTTATGAATATGGTATATCTGACAGTCTTCAGGCAGATGTAATACTGTACAAGATTTATTTCAGTTTATTTATTGCGGTCTCCCCACCCCCCAAAACTTGGAGGCGTATTAAAAAATCTCTTCTCATGTGTCTGTCTATGATCAACGTTTCTTGCATATGCTCGGCAAATGTTTTGAGATTGAATAAATGAATGGTAATAAAACTTTGAGGCATCCAAGCCTTTTCTTTTAATTTCTTTTGTTTCGATTTACACAAACAAAAGTTTATATCTGTAATATACATAGAAGAAATTCTTGACCTTAAATCTGTATTTATTACAAGATTTTCAGGAACATTCATTCAGCTTTCAGGTGGAATGTGGTTAGGTTTGGATTTAATTATGGTTAAGTACCAATTATGACGTTATTAGGCAAAAAAGGCTAAATCCCCATTGTAGGGATTTCAGTGCTAGTTATTTCATTGAGGCTATTGGGGATTTAAGGAGAGAGACGTATTTGTTAGACCAGCCTGGCAAGGTGTTTGGGTCTTATAAAATTCCCAAAGATGAGTAATAAACTACCCAGGTATCAAGAAACCATTTAACTTATTTTAATTGAATAGAAAGTTCCTAGAAATCGGTAAGGTTTTTCTGGAGTCCTAGAAACATATTTTGAAATGTTAGCAAGTTATATTGCTTGAACTTGATATGTCTCACTTTGTTTGTTTTATATGCTGAGAAAGTAACTTTCAAGCTTCATTAAATTTTTTGACATAATTTACAGTTTGCAAAAGTTATTAAGATAAAAATAATCTCCAGCGACAGAAACTCAGTTCTTCCTAAGTCATCGCATTACATGTTTGGAGTACTCTGACTGAGGGTATTACTCTGTGGCAGTTATGCTGGCTCTGAAGTCAGACAGCCCAGGTCAGATGTTATGCCATCACTTACTGTGTGACCTTGGGTGACTTATTTAGCTCCTCTGTGCCTCAGGTTTCTCATCTATACACTGGAGGGTAATAATACTTCATAGAGTTGAGAGAGCAGGGAAGCTAGCACTTAGAATAAAGCTTAGTACATAATAAACAATAAATGTCATTAATGGTCACTTTTGTCATCATTATTAATGTTTTTCTCAAAATGAGTTAAAATATGACTCCAAGAAATATTTAGGAGATTATATCAGTTGACTTTTTCATTTGTAGCATATATGCTATGTGCTACCAAGTGAAATAGAAGACACAAGTTTGGTGAAGAAGAGGAGGAGAATGCTGAATGTGGTTTTTTTGTTTTTGTTTTTCATTTTTTTAGAGACAGGGTCTCACTCTGTCACCCAGGCTGTATTGCAGTGGCACCATCTTGGGTTACTACAACCTCCGCCTCCCAGGCTCAAGGGATCCTCCTTCCTCACCCTCCTAAGTAGCTGGGACTATAGACATGTGCCACCACACCCAGCTAATTTTTTATTTTTAGTAGAGATGGGGTTTTGCCATGTTGCCCAGGCTGGTCTCGAACTCCTGGGCTCAAGTGAACCACCTGCCTCAGCCTCCCAAAGTGCTGGGATTACAGGCATGAGCTGTCATGCTTGGCCCTTGAATTTAGTTTTGAATGTGTTGAACTTGAGTTATTTCTGGGATATTAATCTTGAAATATGAATTTAAAGGAGGGACAGAGGTCACTGGCATATGGGTGATAATTAAAACTATGGGAGATGAATGACATAACATAAGGGTCTACCTTGGGCCTAGGTTTGAAACCTGGGGATACTAACCTTCAAAGAACAGGCAGAGGACATAAAGGAAGCCATCTGAGAGTTAGTAGGAGAAACAGGAGAGAGAAATACCACCAAAAAGAGGTATGGTGTCTGATGAAATAGAGGTTATAGTAATCTGAGAACTGAAAAGTATCCATGGCTTGTTAATTAATGGGTATTTTGTGACTGTTTGGTATCCGTAGAGTGGAGGTGGAAACCAGATAGCTGTGAATTTAGGGATGGTGATAAGGGAGGAAAAGAAGGCAATAAATGTAACTACTGTAACTACTCTTGAGAAATTTTAATGAGACAAGTTGGAAACTAGAGGAAGATACAGGATCAATGGAAAAGTTTTGGAGGGTATATGATTTGGATAGGCTTAAGAGAAATAGCCATTAGAAAAGGAAAAAGGTTGAATATGAGGACAGTGTAGAAAAGATGGGTTCAAGGCCAAAGTTGACGAGACTGGCTTTGAATAGGAGGAGGGATGTGGACAGAAGTAAGCCTTTAAGATAGAGGAAATTGGGGTTCACCTGTAATCCCTGCACTTTGGGAGGCTGAGGCAGGAGGATCACTTGAGCCCAGGAGTTCAAGACCAGCCTGAGCAACATGGTGAGACCCCATCTCTACAAAGATTTAAAGAAAAATTAGCTGGGGATGCTGGCACATTCTTGTAGTGCCAGCTACTGGGAGGCTGAGTCAGAAGGATCACTTGAGCCCAGGAGGTTGAGGCTGCAGTGAGCTATGTTCACTGCACTGCATTCCAGCCTGGATAACAAAACAATACCCTGTCTCAAAATAAATAAATGAAAAGATAGGGAAAGTCACTCCAAATGACTTCCATGTTCTCTAAAGAAATAAAAAAGGGTGTTTGTCACTGAAAGGAGGGTTAGATAGATGTTTTGAGGAGAGTAGTGAAAGATTAGAATAGAATTGAGGAAAATGGGAGAGGTAGCTGACAAATTTGTTCTTCGACTGAGGGATTTTTCACCTGAACAGTATTTAAAGATATCACTGTTAGTGTGGATGCCATGAATGTGTTATATGAAAAAACAGAATGACTATATTTATCATAGAATATATTGATTTAGCACCTCTGTGTACAAAGCACTGTGCGCATATACTTCCTGAGAGATTCAGATGAGCACTGGTCATCTTGTCCAAGGAGAGTATGAGCTAATAGCTCAGGTCATGTGATTGTCACAAATGCAAATGTTTATAAAAGATTAAAAATGGTAAATGACACATGAGTTTTATAAACATACTATAACAGTTTGAAAGAGATAGAGATTCCATCAAATGGGGGAAAATAAGAGGACTTTATGAAAAAGGCACAAAAAAGGGCTAGGTGTGAATTCTCTGTTGAAATAGTAATTACTGTGAATTTTTGATTTATTACACTATTTATTCTTCTATAATACAATGACTGGCATTAAACAGAAGAAGAGAAACAAAGAGATTAATGAAACAGTGAGTTCTCTCCTGTCCAAACAATGTTCTAAAGTTGATTATGTTTTTAGTAAGAATATAGAATTCAGTAATCATTTTCACAAATATTCCACAAATAGGAACGTCTCTGTTAGGTGCAAAAGATACAGAGATGACTAAGATACAGTTTCTGTCCTCAGAGAGTGCATACTCTAATAGAAGAAATAGAAGTAAAAAGAACTGTAGTTTTGTACAACAAGGGATATAAAGATGGTATATATGAGTAGAGAAGTTTAGGGCACAATGGAAGGAAGCATGAATAAATGATTATGTTGATATGATAGCACATTTTTTTTCCTTTTTCTTTTCTTTAGTTGGAGAACATCAATTAACAGGCCATAAAGTGGCAGTTAAAATCTTAAATAGACAGAAGATTCGCAGTTTAGATGTTGTTGGAAAAATAAAACGAGAAATTCAAAATCTAAAACTCTTTCGTCATCCTCATATTATCAAACTGTAAGTATTTTTGTATCTAATAATACCAAAGAGACACCTATCTTAAAATGTTTTTTAGGAATTTTATAATAATTGTTAATTGTTAACCTTTTACAAAGATTTTTTTTCATGTTCATATTCAGCAAGTGTTAATTCATTTAACCTTTATCAGTCCTTTTTTTGCATACTCTTGGTTAGACTGAACAGACATTGTTTCTAAATTAGTACTCAATTTATGTTTCTAAATTAGTACTCAATTTATGTTTCTAAATTAGTACATCAATTCTCAAGTGATGAATGAAGTTGATTCATCACATTTAGAAGTTGATTCTTATCCAACTTTAAATGTCATTCAGGGCTTTGACATTTCTAGATTCATTTTTATAATTTTTATCTAGTCAATTTTCACTAACATTCAGGGTATTTTTTCCTTTGGAAAGATAGAAAGTATATGTCAAAGATTATTTCACATAGTATATTACTTGTAGAACTGAAAGTAGTACTATAACCATAAAGCTTTTAGGAAGGCAAATGTGTTTTTTTCCC